>NT_187447.1:0-2969 GCF_000001405.40 Homo sapiens | reverse complement strand
ATTCATCTCACAGTTTTAGACGTTTCTTTTGATTGAGCAGTTTTGGAATACTCTTTTTGTAGAATCTGCAAGTGGATATTTGGAGCCCTATGAGCCCTATGGTGGAAGAGGAAATATCTTCAAATACAAAATACACAGAAGCATTCAGAGAAACTTCTTTGTGATGAGTGCATTCATCACACAGTGTTGAACATTTCTTTGGATTGAGCAGTTTTGAAGCACTATTGTCATGGAATCTGGAAGTGCATATTTGGAGGTCATTGGGGCCTATTTTGGAGAAGGAGATATCTTCACATAAAAACTACACAGAAACTTTATGAGAAACTTCTTTGTGAGGTGTGCATTCAACTCACAGATTTGAACCTATCGTTTGATTGAGCAGTTTTGAATCTCTCTTATTTCAGAATCTGAAAGTGGATATTTGGAGCCCTTTGAGGCCTACTGTGGAAAATCAAATATATTCACCTAAAAACTACACAGAGGTATTCTGAGAAACTTCTTTGTTTTGTGTGCATTCAACTCACATATTTGAACTTATCTTTTGATTGTACAGTTTTGAATCTCCCTTTTTGCAGAATCTGCAAGTGGATATTTGGAGCCCTATTTTGCCCTATAGTGGAAAAGCAAATATCTTCACATAAACAAACACAACACAGAAGCATTCAGAGAAACTACTTTGTGATTTGTGCATTCAACACGCAGAGTTGAAACTATCTTTTGATTGAACAGCTTTGAATCTCTCTTTTTGTAGAATCTGCAAGTGGAAGTTTGGAGCCCTTTGTGGCCTATGGTGGAAAAGGAAATATCTTCAAATAAAAACTACACAAAAACATTCTGAGAAGCTACTTTGTGATGTGGGCATTCATCTCACAAGGTTGAACCTATCATATGATTGAGCAGTTTCAAAACACTCTTTTTGTAGTATCTGAAAGTGGATATTTGGAGCGCCTTGTTGCCTACAGGAGAGAATCAAATATCTTCACATAAAAACAAGACAGAAGCATTCTCAGAACTTTCTTTGTGATGTATGCATTCATCTCATGGAGTTTAACTTTTCTTTTGATTGAGAACTTTTGAAACACTCTTTTTGAAGATTCTGCAAGTAGATATTTGGAGCCCTTTGTGGCCTACTGTGGAAAAGGAAATATCTTCACATACAAACTACACAGAGGCATTCTGAGAAACTTCTTTGTGATGTGTGCAGTCATCTAATGGAGTTGAAACTTCCTTTTTATAGAGCAGTGTTGAAGCGATCTTTTTGAAGAATTAGCAATGGATGTTTGGAGCGCTTTGAGGCGTACTGTGGAAAAGGAAATATCTTCAAAAAAAAAACTACACAGAAACATTCTGAGAAACTTCTTTGTGATGTGTGCATTCAATTCACAGGGGAGAGCCTATCTTTTGATTGAGCCGTTTTGAATCTCTCTTTTTGTAGAATCTGCAAGTGGGTTTTAGTAGCCCTTTGTGGCCCATGGTGGAAAAGAAAATATCTTCAAATAAAAACTACACAGAAGCATTCTGAGAAACCATTTTGTGATGTGTGCATTTATCTCATATAGTTGAACCTTTCTTTTGATTGAGTAGTTTTGAAACACCTTTTTATAGAGTCTGGAAGTGGATATTTGGAGGACTTTGAGGTCTATTTCGGAAAAGGAAATATCTTCACATAAAAACTACACAGAAGCATTCTGAGGAACTTCTTTGTGAGATGTGCACTCATCTCACAGAGTTGAACCTATCTTTTCATTGAGCAGTTTTGAATCTCTCTCTTTGTAGACTCTGCTTGCGGATATTTGGAGAGCTTTGAGGCCTATTGTGGAAAAGGAGATATCTTCACGTAAAAACTACACAGAAGCATTCTGAGAAACTTTTTGTGATGTGCGCATTCAACTCACAGAGTTGAACCTATATTTTGATAGAACATTTTTTAATCTCTCTTTTTGTAGAAGCAGCATGTGGATATTTGGAGACCTTTGAGGCGTATGGTGGAAAAGGAAATATCTTCAAATAAAAACTAAACAGAAGCATTTTGAGAAACTTCTCTGGGATGTGTGCATTCATATCACAGGGTTGAAACTACCTTTTGATTGAGCAGTTTAGAATCTCTCTCTTTGTACCATCTGCAAGTGGATATTTGGAGCCCTTTGCAGCCTATGGTAGAAAAGGAACTATCCTCAAATAAAAACTACACAAATATATTCTGAGAAACTTCTTTGTGATGTGTGCATTCTTCTCACAGAGTTCTACCTTTATTTTGACTGAGCAGTTTTGAGACTCTTTCCATAGAATCTGGAAGTGAATATTTGGAGGGCTTTGAGATCTATTTTGGAGAAGGAGATATCTTCATATCAAAACTACAAAGAAGCATTCTGAGAAACTTCTTTGTGAGGTGTGCACTGAAGTCACAGTGTTGAACCTATCTTTTGATTCAGCAGTTTTGAATCTCTCTTTTTACAGAATCTGCGAGTGGATATTTGTAGCTCATTGGGGCCTACTGTGGAAAAACAAATATCTTCACATAAAAACTACACAGAAGCAACCTGAGAAACTTCTTTGTGATCTGTGCATTCATCTAACAGAGTTGAATCTTTCTTTTGACACAGCAGTTTTGAAACACTCTTTTTTCAGAATCTGCAAGTGGATATTTGGAGCCTTTTGAGGCCTATAGTGGAGAAGGAAATATCTTCACATAAAAACTATGCAGAAGCATTCTGAGAAACTACTTTGTGATGTGTGCATTCATCTCACAGAGTAGAACCTTTCTTTGGATTGAGCAGTTTTGAAACACTCTTTTTTTAGAATCTGCAAGTGGATATTTGGAGCCTTTTGAGGCCTATGGTGGAGAAGGAAATATCTTCACATAAAAACTATGCAGAAGCATTCTGAGAAACCACTTTGTGATGCGTGCATTCACCTCACAGAGTAGAACCTTTCTTTTGATTGAGCAGTTTTGAAACACTCTTTTTGTA
>NT_187446.1:0-1400 GCF_000001405.40 Homo sapiens | reverse complement strand
GTTGATTTGAGGTGGAGAGTTTTGTAGATGTCTATTAGGTCCGCTTGGTGCAGAGCTGACTTCAATTCCTGGGTATCCTTGTTAACTTTCTGTCTGATTGATCTGTCTAATGTTGACAGTAGGGTATTAAAATCTCCCATTATTATTGTGTGGGAGTCTAAGTCCCTTTGTATGTCATTAAGGACTTGCTTTATGAATCTGGGTGATCTTGTATTGGGTGCATATATATTTAGGATAGTTAGCTCCTCTTGTTGAATTGATCCTTTACCATTATCTAATGGCCTTCTTTGTCTCTTTTGATCTTTGTTGGTTTAAAGTCTGTTTTATGAGAGACTAGGATTGCAACCCCTGCCTTTTTTTGTTTTCCATTTGCTTGGTCGATATTCCTCCATCCCTTTATTTTGAGACTATGTTTGTCTCTGCACATGAGATGGGTTTCCTGAGTACAGCACACTGATGGGTCTTGACTCTTTATCCAATTTGCCAGTCTGTGCCTTATAATTGGAGCATATAGCCCATTTACCTTTAAGGTTAATATAGTTATGTGTGAATTTGATCCTGTCATTAAGATGTCAGCTGGTTATTTTGCTCGTTAGTTGATGCAGTTTCTTTGTAGCCTCGATGGTCTTTACAATTTGGCATGTTTTTGCAGTGGCTGGTACCACTTGTTCCTTTCCATGTTTAGCGCTTCTTTAAGGAGCTCTTTTTTTTTAACATTGTTTTTCTTTTTATTTAAACGAGGTTGACCTTACAAATCAAAGCAATATGGGAGTGATTTTACACTAGCAATATTATTTTTAATTATTCAGATGAACAAAAAGAATATTTATCCGTTCAAGCTGTGATTAAAAAATTCTTTATCTATTTAAACTGAATAGTATACACTTGCATTATCCTAATACTTATCAAGCAGAGCAAAAAATAAAACTCACTCTAAACTTAAGTCATATAACTACAGGTTATTTCTCATCTTTGTTTTTTTTTTAATTTTTTTAATTATTATTATACTTTAAGTTTTAGGGTACATGTGCACAATGTGCAGGTTAGTTACATATGTATACATGTGCCATGCTGCTGCACTGCACCCACTAAGTCGTCATCTAACATTAGATATATCTCCGAATGCTATCCCTCCCCCCTCCCCCCACCCCACAACAGTCCCCAGACTGTGATGTTCTCCTTCCTGTGTCCATGTGTTCTCATCGTTCAATTCCCACCTATGAATGAGAATATGCGATGTTTGGTTTTTTGTTCTTGTGATAGTTTACTGAGAATGATGATTTCCAATTTCATCCATGTCCCTACAAAGGACATGAACTCATTATTTTTTATGGCTGCATAGTATTCCATGGTGTATATGTGTCACATTTTCTTAATCCTTATCATTTTCTTATCATGTG
>NT_187445.1:0-1599 GCF_000001405.40 Homo sapiens | reverse complement strand
CACACATCACAAAGAAGTTTCTGGGAATGCTTCTGTCTAGTTTGAAGAGAAGATATTTCTCTTTCAGCAAAGGCGTCAAAGCGCTCCAAATGTCCACTTCCAGATGCTACAAAAACAGTGTTTCAAACCTGCTCTACATAAAGGGAATGTTCAACTCTGTGACTTGAATGCACATATCACAGAGCAGTTTCTGAGAGTGCCTGTGTCTAGATTTTATACTAAAGTATTCTCGTTTCCAACGAAATCGTTAGAGCTATCCAAATATCCACTTGCAGATTCTACAGAAAGTGTGTTTCAATACTGCTGTATCAAAAGACAGGTTGTACTCTGTTAGCTGAGGACATACATCCCAAACCAGTTTGTGAGAATGCTTCTCTCAAGTTTGTATGGGAAGATATTTCCTTGTTCACCATAGGCCTGAAAGCGCTCGAAATGTCCTCTTCCAGATACTACAGAAAGAGTGTTTGAATCCTGCTCTCTGAAAGGGAATGTTCAACTCTGTGACTTAAAAGCAAACATCACAAAGCAGCTTCTGAGAATGCTGCTGTCTACTTTGTATATGTAATCCCGTTTCCGACGAAATCCCCAAAGCTATCCAAATATCCTCCTGCAGATTCCACGAAAAGACGCTTTCAAACCTGCTCTAAGAAAGGGAATATTCAACTCTGTGACTTGAATACAGATATCACAAAGTAGTTTCTGAGAGTGCTTCTGTCTAGAGTTTATATGAAGCTATTCCCGCTTCCAACGAAATAGCTTGAGCTATCCAAATACCCACTTGCAGATTCTACAGAAAGAGTGTTTCCAAACTGCTGTATCAAAAGACTGGTTGTACTCTGTTACTTGAGGACACACATCACAAAGAAGTTTCTGAGAATGCCGTTTTCGAGATTTTACCTGAAGATATTCCGGTTTACAATGAAATCCTTAAAGCTTTCCAAATATCCACTTGCAGATTCTCCAATAGAGTCTTTCAAAACAGCTCTGTAAATAGAAAGGTTCAACTCTGTTAGTTGAGGACATACATCACAAACCAGTTTGTGAGAATGCTTCTGTCTAATTTTTATGGGAAGATATTTCCTTTTGCACCGTAAGCGTCAAAGCGCTCCAAGTGTCCACATCCAGATACTGCAGAAAGAGTGTTTCAAACATGCTCTATGAAAGCGAATGTTGAACTCTGTGACGTGAATGCAGAGATCACAAAGCAGTTTCTGAGAATGCTTCTGTCTCGATTTCACATGAAGATATTCCTGTTTCCAACGAAATCTTCAAAGTTATCCAAATATCCACTTGCAGATTCTACAAAAAGGGTGTTTCCAAACTGCTGTACCAAAAGAAAGGTTCAACTCTGTTACTTGAGGACACATTTCACAAATAAGTTTCTGAGAATGCTTCTGTCTAGTTTTTATGGGAAGATATTTCCTTTTTCACCATAGGCCTGAAAGCCCTCGAAATGTCCACTTCCAGATACTACAGAAAGAGTGTTTCAAACCTGCTCTATGAAAGGGAATTCTCAACTCTGTGACTTAAAAGCAAACATCACAGAGAAGCTTCTGAGAATGCTACTGTCTACTTTGTATATGTAATCCCCTTTCCAAG
>NT_187444.1:0-1202 GCF_000001405.40 Homo sapiens | reverse complement strand
ACTTTCTTTTCTAGAGAAGTTTTGAAACGCTCTTTTTGTGGAATCTGCAAGTGGATATTTGGCTAGTATGGAGGATTTCGTTGGAAGCGGGAATTCATACAAATTGCAGACTGCAGCGTTCTGAGAAACATCTTTGTGATGTTTGTATTCAGGACACAGAGTTGAACATTCCCTATCATAGAGCAGGTTTGAATCACTCCTTTTGTAGTATCTGGAAGTGGACATTTGGAGCGCTTTCCGGCCTCAGGTGAAAAAGGAAATATCTTCCCATAAAAACTAGACAGAAGCATTCTCAGAAACTTACTCGTGATGTGTGTCCTCAACTAAAGGGGTAGAACCTTTCTTTTGATAGAGCAGTTTTGAAACACTCTTTTTGTAGAATCTGCAAGTGGATATTTCGATAGCTTTGTGGATTTCGTTGGAAACGGGAATATCTTCATATAAAATCTAGAGAGAAGTATTATCAGAAACTTCCTTGTGATGGTTGCATTCAAGTCACAGAGTTGAACATTCGCTTTCATAGAGCATGTTTGAAACACTCTTTTTCCATTACCTGGAAGTGGACATTTGGAGCGCTTTGAGGCCTATGGTGAAAAAGGAAATATCTTCCCAAAAAAACTAGACAGAAGCATTCTCAGAAACTTATTTGTGATGTGTGTCCTCAACTGACAGAGTTGAACATTTCTTTTGAGAGAGGAGTTTTGAAACACTCTTTTTGTGGAATCTGCAAGTGGATATTTGGCTGGCTTTGAGGATTTCGTTGGAAACGGGAATACATATAAAAAGCACACAGCAGCGTTCTGAGAAACTTCTTTCTGATGTTCGCATTCAAGTCAAAAGTTGAACACTCCCTTTCATAGAGCAGTCTTGAAACTCCCCTTTTGTGGTATCTGGAAGTGGACATTTGGAGTGCTTTCAGGGCTAAGGTGAAAAAGGAAATATCTTCCCATAAAAACTGGACAGAAGCATTCTCAGAAACTTGTTTATGCTGTATCTACTCAGCTAACAAAGTTGAACCTTTCTTTTGATAGAGCAGTTTTGAAATGCTCTTTTTGTGGAGTCTGCAAGTGGATATTTGGTTAGTTTTGAGGATTGCGTTGGAAGCGGGAATTCATACAAATTGCAGACTGCAGCGTTCTGAGAAACATCTTTGTGATGTTTGTATCAGGACACAGAGTTGAACATTCCCTATCATAGAGCAG
>NT_187443.1:86579-91309 GCF_000001405.40 Homo sapiens | reverse complement strand
GCAGTTTGGAACAGTCTTTTGCAGTATCTGCAAATGGATATTTGGAGCGCTTTGAGGCCTATAGTGGAAAAGGAAATATCTTCACATAAAAACTACACAGAAGCATTCTGAGAAACTTCTTTCTTATGAGTGCACTCATATCACACAGTTGAACATTTCCTTTGATGGAGCAGTTCGGAGATATTCTTTTTGTATTATCCACAAATGGCTCTTTGGAGCTCATTGAGGCCTATGGTGGAAAAGGAACAATCTTCACATAAAAACAAGCCAGAAGCATTCTGAGAAAATTCCTTGTGATGTGTGCATTCATCTCAATATTTGAACCTTACCTTTCATTGAGCAATTTGGAAATAACCTTTTTATAGTGTCTGCAAATGGAAATTTGAAGCGCTTTGAAACCTATGGAGGAAAAGGAAATAACTTCACATACAAAGTAGATAGAAACATTCTCAGGAACTACATTGTGATGTGTGTATTCATCTCACATAGTGGTTCCTTTCGTTTGATTGAGCAGTTTTGAAACACTCATTTGTAGAATGGGCAAGTGGATATTTGGAGCGATTTGAGGCCTATGATGGAAAAGGAAATATCTTCACATACAAACTAGACAGAAGCAGTCTCAGGAACTGCTTTGTGATGTGTGCATTCAACTCACAGATTTGAACTTTCCTTTTGAGAGAGAGGTTTTGAAACAGACTTTTTGTAGTATCTGCAAGTGGATATTTGTAGTGATTTGGGGCCTAAGATGGAAAAGGAAATACCTTCACGTACAAACTAGACAGAAGTATTCTCAGAAACTGCATTGTGATGTGTGCACTCAACTCACAGAGTTGAACCTTCCATTGGAGAGAGCAGTGTTGAAACGGTATTTTTGTAGTATCTGCAAGTGGATATTTGGAGCGATTTGAGGCCTATGATGGAAAAGGAAATATCTTCACATACAAACTAGACAGAAGGATTCTCAGGAACTGCTTTGTGATGTGTGCATTCAACTCACACAGTTGAACCTTCCTTTTGGGAGAGCAGTTTTGAATCAGTCTTTTTGTAGGACCTGCAAGTTTTCATTTGGAGCGCTGTGAAGCCTATGGTGGAAAAGGGAATATCTTCACAAAAAACTAGGCAGAAGCCTTCTCAGGAACTACACTGAGATGTGTGCATTCAACTAACAGAGTTGAAACTGTCTTTTGACAGAGTAGGAGTGAAACACTCCTTTTGCAGTACCTGACTGTGTATATTTGGAACTCTTTGTGTTATTCATTGGAAACGGGTATCTTCACATAAAAAGTAGACCCAAGCATTCTCAGAAAGTTCGTTGTGATGTGTGCATTCAACTCACAGACTGGAAACTTTCTTTTGATAGAGCAGTGTTGAAACACACTCTTTGTAGAACCCACAAGTATTCATTTGGAGCGCTTTGTTGCCTATGTGGGAAAAGGTAATATCGTCACCTAAACACTAGACAGAAGCATTCTCTGAAACTCCTTTGTGAAGTGTGTGTTCAATTCACATCGTTGAACCTTTCTTTTGATAGAGCAGTGTTGAAACATCCTTTTTGTAGAATCTGCAAGTGTTCATTTCGAGTACTTTTTTACGTATGTTGGAAAAAGTGATATATTCACCTGAAAAATAGAAAGAAGCATTCTCAGAAACTGCTTCGTAACGTGTGCATTCAACTCACAGAGTCGAACCTTCCTTTTGAGAGAGCGGTTTTGAAACAGTCTTTTTGTAGTATCTGCAAGTGGATATTTGCAGTGATTTGAGGCCGAAGAAGGAAAAGGAAATACCTTCAAATAAAAAACGAGACGGAAGCGTTTTCAGAAACTACCTTGTGATGTGTGCATTCAACTCACAGAATTGAACCTCCTTTTGAGAGAGAACTTTTGAAACAGTCTTTTTGTAGTATTTGCAAGTGGATATTTGGAGCGATTTGAGGCCTATGATGGAAAAGGAAATAACTTCAGATACAAACTAGACAGAAGCATTCTCAGGAACTGCTTTGTGATGTGTGCATTCAACTCACGGACTTGAACCTTCCCTTTGAGAGAGCAGTTTTGAAACAGTCTTTTTGTAGTATCGGAAATTGGATATTTAGAGCGACTTGAGGCCTATGATGGAAAAGGGAATATCCTCACATAAAAACTGGACAGAAGCATTCTCAGAAACTTCTTCGTGATATGCGAATTCACCTCTTGGAGTGGAACCCTTCTTTTGATAGAGCGGTTTTGAGGCCGTCTTTTATGAGGATCTGACAGTTCTCATTTGGAGCGCTTTAAAGCCTATGGTGGAAAAGGAGATATATTCACATAAAAACTAGAAAGAAGCATTCTCAGGAACTTCACTGAGATGTGTGCATTTAACTAACAGAGTTGAATCTGTCTTTAGATAGACCAGCATTTAAGCACTCCTTTTGTAGAATCTGCTTGTGGATACTTGGAACTCTTTGAAGAATTCGTTGGAAACGGGTATCTTCACATGAAAAGTAGACCCATGCATTTTCCGAAAGTTCACTGGGATGTGTGCAATTCAACTCACAGACTTGAAACTTTCTTTTGATAGAGCAGTGTAGAAACACGCTTTTTGTAGAATCCGCAATAGTTCCTTTGGAGCGCTTTGTTGCCTATGGTGGAAGAAGAAATATCTTCAAATAAAAACTAGACAGAAGGATTCTCAGAAACTCCTTAGGATGTGTGTGATCAATTAACAGAGTTGAACCTTTCTATTGATAGAGCAGTTTCAAAACACTGCTTTTGTAGAATCTACTTGTGGATATTTGGAGCTCTCTGAGGAATTCGTTGTAAATGGAATCTCTTCACATACAAACTAGACAGAAGCATTCTCAAAAACTGCTATGTGATGTGTGCATTCAACTCACACAGTTGAACCTTCCTTTTGAGAGAGCAGTTTTGAAAGTCCTTTTGTAGTACCTGCGAGTGGAACTTTTAGCGATTTGAGGCGATTTAGATGGAAAAGGAAATGACTTAACATACAAACCAGACAGAAGCATCCTCAGAAGCTGCTTTCTGTTGTGTGAGTTCAACTCACGGACTCGAACCTTTCTTTGGATAGAGCAGTGTTGAAACACAATTTTTGTAGAATCCGCAAGATCTCATTCCGTGTGCTTTGTTGCCTCTGGTGCAAAGAAAATATCGTTACATAAAAAGCTAGACAGAATCATTCTCCGAAACTGCTTTGTGACGCGTGCAGTCAACTCACAGACTTGGACCTTTGTTTTGATAGAGCAGTGTTAAAACACAGTTTTTGTGAAATCTGCAAGTGTTCATTTGCAGCGTATTGTTGCCTATGGTAGAAAAAGAATTATCTTCATAGAAACACTAGACAGAAGCATTCTCAGAAACTCCTTTCTGATGTTTGTGTTCAATTCCCCGAGCTGAACCTTTCCTTTGACAGAGCAGGTTTGAAGCATTGCTTTTGTAGAATCTGCTTCCAGATATTTAGAGCTCTCGGAGGAATTTGTTGTAAACGGGATATCTTCACATTCTAACTAGACTAGACAGAAGCATTCTCAGAAACTGCTTTGTGATATGTGCATTCAACTCACAGAGTTGAACCTTCCATTGGAGAGAGCAGTGTTGAAACGGTATTTTTGTAGTATCTGCAAGTGGATATTTGGAGCGATTTGAGGCCTATGATGGAAAAGGAAATATCTTCACATACAAACTAGACAGAAGCATTCTCAGGAACTGCTTTGTGATGTGTGCATTCAACTCACACAGTTGAACCTTCCTTTTGAGACAGCAGATTTGAATCAGTCTTTTTGTAGGACCTGCAAAATTTCATTTGGAGTGCTGTGAAGCCTATGGTGGAAAAGGGAATATCTTCACAAAAAACTAGGCAGAAGCCTTCTCAGGAACTTCACTGAGATGTGTGCATTCAACTAACAGAGTTGAAACTGTCTTTTGAGAGAGCAGGAATGAAACACTCCTTTTGCAGTATCTGACTGTGTATATTTGGAACTCCTTGAGTTATTCGTTGGAAACAGGTACCTTAACATAAAAAGTAGACCCAAGCATTCTCAGAAAGTTCGTTGTGATGTGTGCATTCAACTCACAGACTTGAAACTTTCTTTCGATAGAGCAGTGTTGAAACACACTTTTTGTAGAACCCACAAGTATTCATTTGGAGCGCTTTGTTGCCTATGTGGGAAAAGGTAATATCGTCACTTAAACACTAGACAGAAGCATTCTCTGAAAATCCTTTGTGATGTGTGTGTTCAATTCACATCGTTGAACCTTTCTTTTGATAGAGCAGTGTTGAGACATCCTTTTTGTAGAATCTGCAAGTGTTCATTTCGAGTACTTTTTTACGTATGTTGGAAAAAGTGATATCTTCACCTGAAAAATAGACAGAAGCATTCTCAGAAACTGCTTCGTAACGTGTGCGTTCAACTCACAGAGTCGAACCTTCCTTTTGAGAGAGCGGTTTTGAAACAGTCTTTTTGTAGTATCTGCAAGTGGATATTTGCAGTGATTTGAGGCTGAAGAAGGAAAAGGAAATACCTTCAAATAAAAAACTAGACGGAAGCGTTTTCAGAAACTGCCTTGTGATGTGTGCATTCAACTCACAGAGTTGAACCTTCCTTTTGAGAGAGAACTTTTGAAACAGTCTTTTTGTAGTATTTGCAAGTGGATATGTGGAGCGATTTGAGGCCTATGATGGAAAAGGAAATACTTCAGATACAAACTAGACAGAAGCATTCTCAGGAACTGCTT
>NT_187443.1:83585-84914 GCF_000001405.40 Homo sapiens | reverse complement strand
GGAACTTCATTGAGATGTGTGCATTCAACTAACAGAGTTGAAACTGTCTTTTGACAGAGCAGGAGTGAAACACTCCTTTTGCAGTACCTGACTGTGTATATTTGGAACTCTTTGAGTTATTCGTTGGAAACGGGTATCTTCACATAAAAAGTAGACCCAAGCATTCTCAGAAAGTTCATTGTGATGTGTGCATTCAACTCACAGACTGGAAACTTTCTTTTGATAGAGCAGTGTTGAAACACACTTCTTGTAGAACCCACAAGTATTCATTTGGAGCGCTTTGTCGCCTATGTGGGAAAAGGTAAGATCTCGGCTCACTGCCAGTCCGCCTCCCGGGTTCACGCCATTCTCCTGCCTCAGCCTCCCGAGTAGCTGGGACTGAACCTTTCTTTTGATAGAGCAGTGTTGAAACATCCTTTTTGTAGAATCTGCAAGTGTTCATTTCAAGTACTTTTTTACGTATGTTGGAAAAAGTGATATCTTCACCTGAAAAATAGACAGAAGCATTCTCAGAAACTGCTGCGTAACGTGTGCATTCAACTCACGGAGTCGAACCTTCCTTTTGAGAGAGCGGTTTTGAAACAGTCTTTTTGTAGTATCTGCAAGTGGATATTTGCAGTGATTTGAGGCCGAAGAAGGAAAAGGAAATACCTTCAAATAAAAAACTAGACGGAAGCATTTTCAGAAACTGCCTTGTGATGTGTGCATTCAACTCACAGAGTTGAACCTTCCTTTTGAGAGAGAACTTTTGAAACAGTCTTTTTGTAGTATTTACAAGTGGATATTTGGAGCGATTTGAGGCCTATGATGGAAAAGGAAATAACTTCAGATACAAACTAGACAGAAGCATTCTCAGGAACTGCTTTGTGATGTGTGCATTCAACTCACGGACTTGAACCTTCCCTTTGAGAGAGCAGTTTTGAAACAGTCTTTTTGTAGTATCTGAAATTGGATATTTAGAGCGACTTGAGGCCTATGATGGAAAAGGGAATATCTTCACATACAATTTGGACAGAAGCATTCTCAGAAACTTCTTCGTGATATGTGAATTCACCTCTTGGAGTGGAACCCTTCTTTTGATAGAGCGGTTTTGAGGCCGTCTTTTATGAGGATCTGCCAGTTCTCATTTGGAGCGCTTTGAAGCCTATGGTGGAAAAGGAGATACATTCACATAAGAACTAGAAAGAAGCATTCTCAGGAACTTCACTGAGATGTGTGCATTTAACTAACAGAGTTGAATCTCTCTTTAGATAGACCAGCATTTAAGCACTCCTTTTGTAGAATCTGCTTGTGGATACTTGGAACTCTTTGAAGAATTCGTTGGAAACG
>NT_187443.1:60302-81655 GCF_000001405.40 Homo sapiens | reverse complement strand
CAGTTTCAAAACACTGCTTTGTAGACTCTGCTTGTGGATATTTGGAGCTCTTTGAGGAATTCGTTGTAAATGGAATCTCTTCACATGCAAACTAGACAGAAGCGTTCTCAAAAACTGCTATGTGATGTGTGCATTCAACTCACACAGTTGAACCTTCCTTTTGAGAGAGCAGTTTTGAAAGTCTTTTTGTAGTATCTGCGAGTGGATCTTTTAGCGATTTGAGGCGATTTAGATGGAAAAGGAAATGACTTCACATACAAACCAGACGGAAGCATCCTCAGAAACTGCTTTCTGTTGTGTGCGTTCAACTCACGGACTCGAACCTTTCTTTGGATAGAGCAGTGTTGAAACACACTTTTTGTAGAATCCGCAAGATTTCATTCCGTGTGCTTTGTTGCCTCTGGTGCAAAGAAAATATCGTTACATAAAAAGCTAGACAGAATCATTCTCCGAAACTGCTTTGTGATGTGTGCAGTCAACTCACAGACTTGGACCTTTGTTTTGATAGAGCAGTGTTAAAACACAGTTTCCGTGAAATCTGCAAGTGTTCATTTGCAACGTATTGTTGTCTATGGTAGAAAAAGAATTATCTTCATAGAAACACTAGACAGAAGCATTCTCAGAAACTCCTTTGTGATGTTTGTGTTCAATTCCCCGAGCTGAACCTTTCCTTTGACAGAGCAGGTTTGAAGCACTGCTTTTGTGGAATCTGCTTCCAGATATTTAGAGCTCTCGGAGGAATTCGTTGTAAACGGGACACCTTCACATTCTAACTAGACTAGACAGAAGCATTCTCAGAAACTGCTTTGTGATGTGTGCATTCAACTCACAGAGTTGAACCTTCCATTGGAGAGAGCAGTGTTGAAACGGTATTTTTGTAGTATCTGCAAGTGGATATTTGGAGCGATTTAAGGCCTATGATGGAAAAGCAAATATCTTCACATACAAACTAGACAGAAGCAGTCTGAGGAACTGCTTTGTGATGTGTGCATTCAACTCACAGATTTGAACTTTCCTTTTGAGAGGGAGGTTTTGAAACAGTCTGTTTGTAGTATCTGCAAGTGGATATTTGTAGTGACTTGGGGCCTCGGATGGAAAAGGAAATACCTTCACATACAAACTAGACAGAAGTATTCTCACAGACTCCATTGTGATGTGTGCACTCAACTCACAGAGTTGAACCTTCCTTTTGAGAGAGCAGTTTTGAAACAGTCTTTTTGTAATGTCTGCAAGTGGATATTTGGAGCGATTCGAGTACTATGATGGAAAAGGAAATATCTTCACATACAAACTAAACGGAAGCATTCTCAGAAACTTCTTGTGATGTGTGCATTCACCTAACAGAGTGGAACCGTTCTTTTGAGAGAGCAGTTTTGAAGCAGTCTTTTTGTAGGACCTGCAAGTTTTCATTTGGAGCGCTGTGAAGCCTATGGTGGAAAAGGGAATATCTTCACAAAAAACTAGGCAGAAGCCTTCTCAGGAACTTCATTGAGATGTGTGCATTCAACTAACAGAGTTGAAACTGTCTTTTGACAGAGCAGGAATGAAACACTCCTTTTGTAGTATCTGATTGTGTATATTTGGAACTCTTTGAGTTATTCGCTGGAAACGGGTATCTTCACATAAAAAGTAGACCCAAGCATTCTCAGAAAGTTCTTTGTGATGTGTGCATTCAACTCACAGACTTGAAACTTTCTTTTGATAGAGCAGTGTTGAAACACACTTTTTGTAGAATCCACAAGTATTCATTTGAAGCCCTTTGTTGCCTATGTGGGAAAAAGTAATATCTTCACTTAAAAACTAGACAGAAGCATTCTCTGAAACTCCTTTGTGATGTGTGTGTTCAATTCATATCGTTGAACCTTTCTTTTGATAGAGCAGTGTTGAAACATACTTTTTGTAGAATCTGCAAGTGTCCATTTTGAGTTCTTTTTTGCGTATGTTCGAAAAAGTGATATCTTCACCTGAAAAATAGACAGAAGCATTCTCAGAAACTGCTTTGTAACATGTGCATTCAACTCACAGAGTTGAACCTTCCTTTTGAGAGAGCGGTTTTGAAACAGTCTTTTTGTAGTATCTGCAAGTGGATATTTGCAGTGATTTGAGGCCGAAGAAGCAAAAGGAAATACCTTCAAATAAAAAAACTAGACGGAAGCATTTTCAGAAACTGCCTTGTGATGTGTGCATTCAACTCACAGAGTTGAACCTTCCTTTTGAGAGAGAAGTTTTGAAACAGTCTTTTGGTAGTATTTGGAAGTGGATATGTGGAGCGATTTGAGGCCTATGATGGAAAAGGAAATAACTTCAGATACAAACTAGACAGAAGCATTCTCAGGAACTGCTTTGTGATGTGTGCATTCAACTCACGGACTTGAACCTTCCCTTTGAGAGAGCAGTTTTGAAACAGTCTTTTTGTAGTATCTGAAATTGGATATTTAGAGCGACTTGAGGCCTATGATGGAAAAGGGAATATCTTCACATACAAATTGGACAGAAGCATTCTCAGAAACTTCTTCGTGATATGTGAATTCACCTCTTGGAGTGGAACCCTTCTTTTGATAGAGCGGTTTTGAGGCAGTCTTTTATGAAGATCTGCCAGTTCTCATTTGGAGCGCTTTGAAGCCTATGGTGGAAAAGGTGATATGTTCACATAAAAACTAGAAAGAAGCATTCTCAGGAACTTCACTGAGACGTGTGCATTTAACTAACAGAGTTGAATCTGTCTTTAGATAGACCAGCATTTAAGCACTCCTTTTGTAGAATCTGCAGGTGGATATTTGGAACTCTTTGAAGAATTCGTTGGAAACGGGTATCTTCACATGAAAAGTAGACCCATGCATTCTCCGAAAGTTCACTGGGACGTGTGCATTCAACTCACAGACTTGAAACTTTCTTTTGATAGAACAGTTTAGAAACACGCTTTTTGTAGAATCTGCTAGAGTTCCTTTGGAGCGCTTTGATGCCTATGGTGGAAAAAGTAATATCTTCAAATAAAAACTAGACAGAAGGGTTCTCAGAAACTCCTTTGGATGAGTGTGTTCAATTAACAGAGTTGAACCTTTCTATTGATAGAGCAGTTTTAAAACACTGCTTTTGTAGAATCTGATTGTGGATATTTGGAGCTCTTTGAGGAATTCGTTGTAAATGGAATATCTCCACATACCAACTAGACAGAAGCATTCTCAAAAACTGCTTTGTGACGTGTGCATTCAAGTCACACAGTTGAACCTTCCTTTTGAGAGAGCAGTTTTGAAAGTCTTTTGGTAGTATCTGCAAGTGGATCTTTTAGCGATTTGAGGCGATTTAGTTGGAAAAGGAAATGACTTCACATACAAACCAGACAGAAGCATCCTCAGAAACCGCTTTCTGTTGTGTGCGTTCAACTCACGGACTCGAACCTTTCTTTGGATAGAGCAGTGTTGAAACACACTTTTTGCAGAATCTGCAAGTTTTCATTCCGTGTGCTTTGTTGCCTATGGTGGAAAGAAAATATCGTTACATAAAAAGCTAGACAGAATCATTCTCCGAAACTGCTTTGTGATGTGTGCAATCAACTCACAGACTTGGACATTTCTTTTGATAGAGCAGTGTTAAAACACAGTTTTTGTGAAATCTGCAAGTGTTCATTTGCAACGTATTGTTGCCTATGGTAGAAAAAGAATTATCTTCATAGAAACACTAGACAGAAGCATTCTCAGAAACTCCTTTGTGATGTTTGTGTTCAATTCCCTGAGCTGAACCTTTCCTTTGATAGAGCAGCTTTGAAGCACTGCTTTTGTAGAATCTGCTTCCAGATATCTAGAGCTCTTGGAGGAATTCGTTGTACACGGGATATCTTCTCATTCTAACTAGACAGAAGCATTCTCAGAAACTACTTTGTGATGTGTGCATTCAACTCACAGAGTTGAACCTTCCATTTGAGAGAGCAGTGTTGAAACGGTATGTTTGAAGTATCTGCAAGTGGATATTTGGAGCGATTTGAGGCCTATGATGGAAAAGGAAATGTCTTCACATACAAACTAGACAGAAGCATTCTCAGAAACTGCTTTGTGATGTGCGCATTCAACTCACAGAGTTGAACCTTCCTTTTGAGAGAGCAGTTATGAAACAGTCTTTTTGTAGTATCTGCAAGTGGATATTTGGAGCGATTTGTGACCTATGATGGAAAAGGGAATAACTTCACATACAAATTAGACAGAAGCAGTCTCAGGAACTGCTTTGTGATGTGTGCAGTCAACTCCTAGACTTGAAGTTTCCTTTTGAGAGAGAGGTTTTGAAACAGTCTTTTTACAGTATCTGCAAGTGGATATTTGTAGTGATTTGAGGCCTAAGATGGAAAAGGAAATATCTTCACATACAAACTCGACAGAAGCATTCTCAGGAACTGCTTGGTGATGTGTGCATTTAACTCAAACAGTTGAACCTTCCTTTTGAGAGACCAGTTTTGAAGTAGTCTTTTTGTCATATCAGCAAGTGGATATTTGCGGCGATTTGTGGAGTATTGTGGAAAATGAAATATCTTCACATACAAACTAGACAGAAGCATTATCAGAAACTGCTTTGTGATGTGTGCATTTAACTCACAGACTTGAAACTTCCTTTAGATAGAGCAGTGTTGAAGCACACTTTTTGTATAATCTACAAGTGTTCTTTGGTGTGCTTTGTTGCCTATGTTGGAAAAAGAAATATCTTCACATAAAAACTAGACAGAAGCATTCTCAGAAACTCCTTTGTGATGGGTGTGTTCAATTCACATTGTTGAACCTTTCTTTTGATACAGCAGTGTTGAAACAAACATTTTGCAGAATCTGCAAGTGTTCATTTCAAATGCTTTGTGGCCTATGTTGGAAAAAGTGATATCTTCACCTAAAAAATAGACAGAAGCATTCTCAGGAACTGCTTTGTAATATGTGCATTCAACTCACAGAGTTGAACCTTCCTTTTGAGAGAGCGGCTTTGAAACAGTCTTTTTGTAGTATCTGCAAGCGGATATTTGGAGCGATTTGAGGTCTAAGAAGGAAAAGGAAATACCTTCAAATAAAAACTAGACAGAAGCTTTCTCAGAAACTTCTTTGTGATGTGTGCATTTAACTCAAAGTCTTGATCCTTTCTTTTGATAGAGCAGTGTTGAAACACACTTTTTGTAGAATCTGCTAGTGTTCATTTGGAGAGATTTGTTGCCTATGGTGGAAAAAGGATTATCTTCTCTTAAAAACTAGAGAGAAGCATTCTTAGAAACTGCTTTGGAATGTGTGTGCTCAATTCACAGAGTTGAAACTTTCCTTTGATAGAGCAGTTTTGAAACACTGCTTTTGTAGAATCTGCTTGTGGATATTTGGAGCTCTTTGAGGAATACGTTGTAAAAGGCATATCTTCACATACAAACTAGACAGAAGCATTCTCAGAAACTGCTTTGTGATGTGTGCATTCAACTCACAGAGTTGAACCTTCCATTTGAGAGAGCAGTGTTGAAACAGTCCTTTTGTAGTATCTGCAAGTGGATATTTGGAGCGATTTGAGGCCTATGATGGAAAAGGAAATATCTTCACATACAAACTAGACAGAAGCATTCTCAGAAACTGCTTTGTGATGTGTGCATTCAACCCACAGATTTGAACCTTCCTTTTGAGAGAGCAGTGTTGAAACGGTCTTTTGTAGTATCTGCAAGTGGATATTTGGAGCGATTTGAGGCCTATGATGGAAAAGCAAATATCTTCACATACAAACTAGACAGAAGCAGTCTGAGGAACTGCTTTGTGATGTGTGCATTCAACTCACAGATTTGAACTTTCCTTTTGAGAGGGAGGTTTTGAAACAGTCTGTTTGTAGTATCTGCAAGTGGATATTTGTAGTGACTTGGGGCCTCGGATGGAAAAGGAAATACCTTCACATACAAACTAGAGAGAAGTATTCTCACATACTCCATTGTGATGTGTGCACTCAACTCACAGAGTTGAACCTTCCTTTTGAGAGAGCAGTTTTGAAACAGTCTTTTTGTAATGTCTGCAAGTGGATATTTGGAGCGATTCGAGTACTATGATGGAAAAGGAAATATCTTCACATACAAACTAAACGGAAGCATTCTCAGAAACTTCTTGTGATGTGTGCATTCACCTAACAGAGTGGAACCGTTCTTTTGAGAGAGCAGTTTTGAAGCAGTCTTTTTGTAGGACCTGCAAGTTTTCATTTGGAGCGCTTTGAAGCCTATGGTGGAAAAGGGAATATCTTCACAAAAAACTAGGCAGATGCCTTCTCAGGAACTTCATTGAGATGTGTGCATTCAACTAACAGAGTTGAAACTGTCTTTTGACAGAGCAGGAATGAAACACCCCTTTTGTAGTATCTGATTGTGTATATTTGGAACTCTTTGAGTTATTCGTTGGAAACGGGTATCTTCACATAAAAAGTAGACCCAAGCATTCTCAGAAAGTTCGTTGTGATGTGTGCATTCAACTCACAGACTGGAAACTTTCTTTTGATAGAGTAGTGTTGAAACACACTTTTTGTAGAACCCACAAGTATTCATTTGGAGTGCTTTGTTGCCTATGTGGGAAAAGGTAATATCGTCACTTAAACACTACACAGAGGCATTCTCTGAAACTCCTTTGTGATGTGTGTGTTCAATTCACATCGTTGAACCTTTCTTTTGATAGAGCAGTGTTGAGACATCCTTTTTGTAGAATCTGCAAGTGTTCATTTCGAGTACTTTTTTACGTATGTTGGAAAAAGTGATATCTTCACCTGAAAAATAGACAGAAGCATTCTCAGAAACTGCTTCGTAACGTGTGCATTCAACTCACAGAGTCGAACCTTCCTTTTGAGAGAGCGGTTTTGAAACAGTCTTTTTGTAGTATCTGCAAGTGGATATTTGCAGTGATTTGAGGCCGAAGAAGGAAAAGGAAATACCTTCAAATAAAAAACTAGACGGAAGCATTTTCAGAAACTGCCTTGTGATGTGTGCATTGAACTCACAGAGTTGAACCTTCCTTTTGAGAGAGAAGTTTTGAAACAGTCTTTTGGTAGTATTTGCAAGTGGATATGTGGAGCGATTTGAGGCCTATGATGGAAAAGGAAATAACTTCAGGTACAAACTAGACAGAAGGATTCTCAGGAACTGCTTTGTGATGTGTGCCTTAAACTCACGGAGTTCAACCTTCCTTTTGAGAGAGTAGTTTTGAAACAGTCTTTTTGTAGTATCTGAAATTGGATATTTAGAGCGACTTGAAGCCAATGATGAAAAAAGTAATTTCTTCACATAAAAATTGGACAGAAACATTCTCAGAAACTTCTTGTGATGTGTGCCTTCACCTAACAGAGTGGAACCGTTCTTTTGATAGAGCAGTTTTGAATCAGTCTTTTTGTAGGACCTGCAAGTTTTCATTTGGAGCGCTGTGAAGCCTATGGTGGAAAAGGGAATATCTTCAAAAAAAACTAGGCAGAAGCCTTCTCAGGAACTTCATTGAGATGTGTGCATTCAACTAACAGAGTTGAAACTGTCTTTTGACAGAGCAGGAATGAAACACTCCTTTTGTAGTATCTGATTGTGTATATTTGGAACTCTTTGAGTTATTCGTTGGAAACGGGTATCTTCACATAAAAAGTAGACCCAAGCATTCTCAGAAAGTTCTTTTTGATGTGTGCATTCAACTCACAGACTTGAAACTTTCTTTTGATAGAGCAGTGTTGAAACACACTTTTTGTAGAATCCTCAAGTATTTATTTGGAGCGCTTTGTTGCCTATGTGGGAAAAGGTGATATCTTCACATTAAAACTAGACTGAAACATTCTCTGAACCTCCTTTGTGATGTGTGTGTTCAATTCATATCTTTGAACCTTTCTTTTGATAGAGCAGTATTGAAACATACTTTTTGTAGAATCTGCAAGTGTTCATTTGGAGTACTTTTTTGAGTATGTTGGAAAAAGTGATATCTTCACCTAAAAAATAGACAGAAGCATTCTCAGAAACTGCTTTGTAATGTGTGCATTCAACTGACAGAGTTGAACCTTCCTTTTGAGTGAGAAGTTTTGAAACATTCTTTTTGTAGTATTTGCAAGTGGATATTTGGAGCGATTTGAGGCCTATGATGGAAAAGGAAATAAGTTCAGATACATACTAGACAGAATCATTCTGAGGAACTGCTTTGTGATGTGTGCATTCAACTCACGGACTTGAACCTTCCTTTTGAGAGAGCAGTTTTGAAACAGTCCTTTTGTAGTATCTGTAATTGGATATTTAGAGCGACTTGAGGCCTATGATGGAAAAGGGAATATCTCCACATAATAATTGGACAGAAGCATTCTCAGAAACTTCTTCGTGATATGTGAATTCACCTCTTGGAGTGGAACCCTTCTTTTGATAGAGCGGTTTTGAGGCAGTCTTTTATTGGGATCTGCCAGTTGTCATTTGGAGCGCTTTGAAGCCTATGGTGGAATAGGAGATATATTCACATAAAAACTAGAAAGAAGCATTCTCAGGAACTTCACTGAGATGTGTGCATTTAACTAACAGAGTTTAATCTGTCTTTAGATAGACCAG
The DNA here is from genome assembly GCF_000001405.40 of Homo sapiens. Taxonomy (NCBI): domain Eukaryota; kingdom Metazoa; phylum Chordata; class Mammalia; order Primates; family Hominidae; genus Homo; species Homo sapiens. The sequence continues at coordinate 73,119 of NT_187443.1, read as the reverse complement.
CATGTAAACACTCCTTTTGTAGAATCTGCTTGTGGATATTTGGAACTCTTTGAAGAATTCGTTGGAAACGTGTATCTTCACATGAAAAGTAGACCCATGCATTCTCCGAAAGTTCACTGGGATGTGTGCATTCAACTCACTTACCTGAAACTTTCTTTTTATAGAACAGTGTAGAAACACGCTTTTTGTAGAATCCGCAAGAATTCATTTGGAGCGCTTTGTTGCCTATGGTGGAAAAAGAAGTATCTTCAAATAAAAAGTAGACAGAAGGATTCTCAGAAACTCCTTTGGATGTGTGTGTTCAATTAACAGAGTTGAACCTTTCTATTGATAGAGCAGTTTTAAAACACTGCTTTTGTAGAATCTGCTTGTGGATATTTGGAGCTCTTTGAGGAATTCGTTGTAAATGGAATATCTCCACATACCAACTAGACAGAAGCAATCTCAAAAACTGCTTTGTGATGTGTGCATTCAAGTCACACAGTTGAACCTTCCTTTTGAGAGAGCAGTTTTGAAAGTCTTTTGGTAGTATGTGCAAGTGGATCTTTTAGCGATTTGAGGCGGTTTAGATGGAAAAGGAAATGACTTCACATACAATCCAGACAGAAGCATCCTCAGAAACTGCTTTCTGTTGTGTGCGTTCAACTCACGGACTCGAACCTTTCTTTGGATAGAGCAGTGTTGAAACACGCTTTTTGGAGATTCTGCAAGTTTTCATTCCGTGTGCTTTGTTGCCTATGGTGGAAAGAAAATATCGTTACATAAAAAGCTAGACAGAATCATTCTCCGAAACTGCTTTGTGATGTGTGCAATCAACTCACAGACTTGGACATTTCTTTTGATAGAGCAGTGTTAAAACACAGTTTTTGTGAAATCTGCAAGTGTTCATTTGCAGCGTATTGTTGCCTATGGTAGAAAAAGTATTATCTTCATAGAAACACTAGACAGAAGCATTCTCAGAAACTCCTTTGTGATGTTTGTGTTCAATTCCCCGAGCTGAACCTTTCCTTTGACAGAGCAGGTTTGAAGCACTGCTTTTGTAGAATATGCTTCCAGATATTTAGAGCTCTTGGAGGAATTCGTTGTAAGCGGGATATCTTCACATTGAAACTAGACAGTAGCATTCTCAGAAACTACTTTGTGATGTGTGTTTTGAATTCACAGAGTTGAAAATTTCTTTTGATAGAGCAGTTTTTTTTATTTTTTTAGGTACTTTATGTTTTAGGGTGCATTTGCTCATTTTGCAGTTTATTTACATATGTGTACATGTGCCATGCTGGTGCACTGCATCTACTAACTCGTCATCTAGCATTAGGTATATCTCCCAATGCTCTCCCTCACCCCGATCCCCCACCCCAGAACTGTCCCCAGAGTGTGATAATCCCCTTCCTGTGTCCATGTGATCTCATTGTTGAATTCCCACCTATGAGTGAGAATATGTGGTGTTTCGTTTTTTGTTCTTGTGATGGTTTACTGAGAATGATGTTTTCCAATTTCATCCATGTCCCTACAAAGGACATGAACTCATCATGTTTTATGGCTGCATAGTATTCCATGGTGTATATGTGCCACATTTTTTTAGTCCAGTATATCATTGTTGGACATTTGGGTTGGTTCCAAGTATTTCCTATTGTGAATAGTGCCACAATAAACATACTTGTGCATGTGTCTTTATAGCAGCATGATTTATAGTCCTTTGGGTATATACCCAGTAATGGGATGGCTTTGTCAAATGGTATTTCCTGCTCTAGATCCCTGAGGAATCACCACACTGACTTCCACAATTGTTGAACTAGTTTACAGTCCCACCAACAGTGTAAAAGTGTTCCTATTTCTCCACATCCTCTCCAGCACCTGTTGTTTCCTGACGTTTTAATGATTGCCATTCTAACTGGTGTGAGATGGTATCTCATTGTGGTTTTGATTTGCATTTCTCTGATTGCCAGTGATGATGAGCGTTTATTCATGTCTTTTTTGGCTGCATAAATGTCTTCTTTTGCGAAGTGTCTGTTTATGTCCTTTGCCTACTTTTTGATGGGGTTGTTTGTTTTTTTCTTGTAAATTTGTAAGTGTTCATTGTAGATTCTGGATATTAGGCCTTTTTCACATGAGTAGGTTGCTAAAATTTTCTCCCATTTTGTAGGCTGTCTGTTCACTCTGATGGTAGTTTCTTTTGCTGTGCAGAAGCTCTTTAGTTTAATCAGATCCCATTTGTCAATTTTGTCTTTTGTTGCCATTGCTTTTGGTGTTTTAGACATGAAGTCCTTGGCCATGCCTATGTCCTGAATGGTAATGTCTAGGTTTTCTTCTAGGGTTTTTATGGTTTTAGGTCGAACGTTTAAGTCTTTAATCCATCTTGAATTGATTTTGGCATAAGGTGTAAGGAAGGGATCCAGTTTCAGCTTTCTACATATGGCTAGCCATTTTTCCCAGCTCCATTTATCAAATAGGGAATCCTTTCCCCATTGTTTGTTTTTCTCAGGTTTCTCAAAGATCAGATAGTTGTAGATATGCGGTGTTATTTCTGAGGGCTCTGTTCTGTTCCATTGATCTATATCTCTGTTTTGGCACCAGTACCATGCTGTTTTGGTTACTGTAGCCTTGTAGTATAGTTTGAAGTCAGGTAGTGTGATGCCTCCAGCATTGTTCTTTTGGCTCAGGATTGACTTGGCAATGTGGGCTCTTTTTTGGTTCCATATGAACTTTAAAGTATTTTTTTTCCAATTCTGTGAAGAAAGTCATTGGTAGCTTGATGGGGATGGCATTGAATCTGTAAATTGCCTTGGGCAGTATGGCCATTTTCACGATATTGATTCTTCCTACCCTTGAGCATGGAATGTTCTTCCATTTGTTTGTATCCTCTGTTATTTCCTTGAGCAGTGGTTTGTAGTTCTCCTTGAAGAGGTCCTTCACATCCCTTGTAAGTTGGATTCCTAGGTATTTTATTCTCTTTGCAGCAATTGTGAATGGGAGTTCACTCATGATTTGGCTCTCTGTTTGTCTGTTGTTGGTTTATAAGAATGCTTCTGATTTTTTGTACATTGATTTTGTTTTGCGAGACTTTGCTGAAGTTGCTTATCAGCCTAAGGAGATTTTGAGCTGAGACAATGGGGTTTTCTAGATATACAATCATGTCGTCTGCCAACAGGGCCAATTTGACTTCCTCGTTTCCTAATTGAATACCCTTTATTTCCTTCTCCTGCCTAATTGCCCTGACCAGAGCTTCCAACACTATGTTGAATAGGAGTGTTGAGAGAGGGCATCCCTGTCTTATGCCAGTTTTCAAAGGGAATGCTTCCAGATTTGCCCACTCAGTATGATATTGGCTGTGGGTTTGTCATAGATAGCTCTTATTATTTTGATATACGTCCCTTCAATACCTAATTTATTGAGAATTTTTAGCATGAAGGTTGTTGAATTTTGTCAAAAGCTTTTTCTGCATCTATTGAGATAATCATGTGGTTTTTGTCTTTGGCTCTGTTTATATGCTGGATTACATTTATTAATTTGCATATATTGAACCAGCCTTGCATCCCAGGGATGAAGCCCACTTGATCATGGTGGATAAGCTTTTTGATATGCTGCTGGATTTGTTTTGCCAGTATTTTATTAAGGATTTTTGCATCAATGTTCATCAAGGATACTGGTCTAAAATTCTCTTTTTTTGTTGTGTCTCTGCCTGGCTTTGGTATCAGAATGATGCTAGCCTCATGAAATGAGTTAGGGAGGATTCCCTCTTTTTCTATTGATTGGAATAGTTTCAGAAGGAATGGTACCAGTTCCTCCTTGTACCTCTGATAGAATTCAGCTGTGAATCTATCTGGTCCTGGACTCTTTTTGGTTGGTAAGCTATTGATTTTTGCCACAATTTCAGGTCCTGTTATTGGTCTATTCAGAGATTCAACTTCTTCCTGGTTTAGTCTTGAGAGAGTGTATGTTTCAAGGAATTTATTCATTTCTTCTAGATTTTCTAGTTTAATTGCGTAGAGGTGTTTGTAGTATTCTCTGATGGTAGTTTGTATTTCTGTGGGATCGGTGGTGATATCCCCTTTATCAATTTTTATTGCATCTATTAGATTCTTCTCTCTTTTTTTCTTTATTAGTCTTGCTAGCGGTCTATCAATTTTGTTGATCCTTTCAAAAAACCAGCTCCTGTATTCATTAGATTTTTGAAGTATTTTTTGTCTCTATTTCCTTCAGTTCTGCTTTGATTTTAGTTATTTCTTGCCTTCTGCTAGCTTTTGAATGTGTTTGCTCTTGCTTTTCTAGTTGTTTTAATTGTGATGTTAGGGTGTCAATTTTGGATCTTTCCTGCTTTCTCTTGTGGGCATGTAGTGCTATAAATTTCCCTCTACACACTGCTTTGAATGTGTCCCAGAGATTCTGGTATGTTGTGTCTTTGTTCTCATTGGTTTCAAAGAACATCTTTATTTCTGCCTTCATTTCGTTATGTACCCAGTAGTCATTCAGGAGCAGGTTGTTCAGTTTCCGTGGTTGAGCGGTTTTGAGTGAGATTCTTAATCCTGAGCTCTAGTTTGATTTCACTGTGGCCTGAGAGATAGTTTGTTATAATTTCTGTTCTTTTCCATTTGCTGAGGAGAGCTTTACTTCCAAGTATGTGGTCAATTTTGGAATAGGTGTGGTGTGGTGCTGAAAAAAAATGTATATTCTATTGATTTGGGGTGGAGAGTTTTGTAGATGTCTATTAGGTCTGCTTGGTGCAAAGCTGAGTTCAATTCCTGGGTATCCTTGTTGACTTTCTGTCTTGTTGATCTGTCTAATGTTGACAGTGGGGTGTTAAAGTCTCCCATTATTAATGTGTGGGTGTCTAAGTCTCTTTGTAGTTCACTCTTGACTTGCTTTATGAATCTGGGTGCTCCTGTATTGGGTGCATATATATTTAGGATAGTTAGCTCTTCTTGTTGAATTGATCCCTTTACCATTATGTAATGGCCTTCTTTGTCTCTTTTGATCTTTGTTGGTTTAAAGTCTGTTTTATCAGAGACTAGGATTTCAACCCCTGCCATTTTTGTTTTCCATTTGCTTGGTAGATCTTCCTCCATCCTTTTAGTTTGAGCCTATGTGTGTCTCTGCACATGAGATGGGTTTCCTGAATACAGCACACTGATGGGTCTTCACTCTTTATCCAATTTGCCAGTCTGTGTCTTTTAATTGGAGCATTTAGTCCATTTACATTTAAAGTTAATATTGTTATGTGTGAATTTGATCCTGTCATTATGATGTTAGCTGGGTATTTTGCTCATTAGTTGATGCAGTTTCTTCCTAGTCTTGATGGTCTTTACATTTTGGCATGATTTTCCAGCAGCTGGTACCGGTTGTTCCTTTCCATGTTTAGCGCTTCCTTCAGGGGCTCTTTTAGGGCAGGCCTGGTGGTGACAAAGTCTCTCAGCATTTGCTTGTCTGTAAAGTATTTTATTTCTCCTTCGCTTATGAAGCTTAGTTTGGCTGGATATGAAAATCTGGATTGAAAATTCTTGTCTTTAAGAATGTTGAATATTGACCCCCACTCTCTTCTGGCTTGTAGGGTTTCTGCCGAGAGATCCGCTGTTAGTCTGATGGGCTTCCCTTTGAGGGTAACCCAACCTTTCTCTCTGGCTGCCCTTAACATTTTTTCCTTCATTTCAACTTTGGTGAATCTGACAATTTTGTGTCGGGAATTGCTCTTCCCGAAGATTATCTTTGTGGCATTCTCTATCTTTCCTGAATCTGAACGTTGGCCTGCCTTGCTAGATTGGGGAAGTTCTCCTGGATAATATCCTGCAGAGTGTTTTCCAACTTGGTTCCATTCTCCCCATCACTTTCAGGTACACCAGTCAGACTTAGATTTGGTCTTTTCACATAATCCCATATTTCTTGGAGGCTTTGCTCATTTCTTTTTATTCTTTTTTCTCTAAACTTCCTTTGTAGCTTCATTTCATTCATTTCATCTTCCAGCACTGATACCCTTTCTTCCAGTTGATTGCATTGGCTCCTGAGGCTTCTGCATTCTTCAGGTAGTTCTCAAGCCTTGGGTTTCAGCTCCATCAGCTCCTTTAAGCACTTCTCTTTACTGGTTATTCTAGTTATACATTCTTCTAAATTTTTTTCAAAGTTTTCAACTTCTTTGCCTTTGGTTTGAATGTCCTCCCGTAGCTCAGAGTAATTTGATTGTCTGAAGCCTTCTTCTCTCAGCTCGTCAAAGTCATTCTCCGTCCAGCTTTGTTCCGTTGCTGGTGAGGAACTGCGTTCCTTTGGAGGAGGAGAGGTGCTCTGCTTAACAGAGTTGCCAGTTTTTCTGCTCTGTTTTTTCCCCATCTTTGTGGTTTTATCTACTTTTGGTCTTTGATGATGGTGATGTACAGATGGGTTTTTGGTGTGGATGTCCTTTCAGTTTCTTAGTTTTCCTTCTAACAGACAGGACCCTCAGCTGCAGGTCTGTTGGAATACCCTGCCGTGTGAGGTGTCAGTGTGCCCCTGCTGGGGGTGCCTCCCAGTTAGGCTGCTCAGGGGTCATGGGTCAGGGACCCACTTGAGGAGGCAGTCTGCCCGTTCTCAGATCTCCAGCTGGGTGCTGGGAGAACCACTGCTCTCTTCAAAGCTGTCTGACAGGGACATTTAAGACTGCAGAGGTTACTGCTGTCTTTTTGTTTGTCTGTGCCCTGCCCCCAGAGGTGGAGCCTACAGAGGCAGGCAAGTCTCCTTGGGCTGTGGTGGGCTCCGCCCAGTTGGAGCTTCCCGGCTGCTTTGTTTACCTAATCAAGCCTGGGCAATGGGGGGCGCCACTCCCCCAGCCTCACTGCAGACTTGCAGTTTGATCTCAGACTGCTGTGCTAGCGATCAGTGAGACTCCGTATGGGTAGGACCCTCCGAGCCAGGTGCCGGATATAATCTCGAGGTGCGCCGTTTTTTAAGCCCGTCGGAAAAGCGCAGTATTCGGGTGGTAGTGGCCCGATTTTCCAGGTGCCTTCCCTCACCCCTTTCTTTGACTCAGAAAGGGAAATCCCTGACACCTTGTGCTTCCCAAGTGAGGCAATGCCTTGCCCTGCTTCAGCTCGTGCACGGTGCGCATACCCACTGACCTGTGCCCACTGTCTGGCACTCCCTAGTGAGATGAACCCGGTACCACAGATGGAAATGCAGAAATCACCTTCTTCTGCGTCGCTCACGCTGGGAGCTGTAAACCGGAGCTCTTCTTATTCAGCCATCTTCACCCACTCCCCATAGAGCAGTTTTCATACACTGCTTTTGTAGAATCTGCTTGTGGATATTTGGAGCTCTTTGAGGAATTCGTTGTAAACGGGATATCCTCACATACAAACTAGACAGAAGCATTCTCGGAAACAGCTCTGTGATGTGTGCATTCAACTCACAGAGTTGAACCTTCCTTTTAAGAGAACAGTTTTGAAACAGTCTTTTTGTAGTATCTGCAAGTGGATATTAGGAGTGATTTGAGGCCTAAGATTGAAATGGAAATATATTCACATACAAACTAGACAGAAGCATTCTCAGAAACTGCTTTGTGGTGTGTGCATTCACCTGACAGATTGGAACCGTTCTTTTGATAGAATAGTTTTGAAACAGTCTTTTTTTATGACCTGCAAGTGTTCATTTGGAGCACTTTGAAGCCTATGGTGGAAAAGGAAATATCTTCACATACAAACTAGACAGAAGCATTCTCAGGAACTTCATTGAGATGTGTGCACTCAACTAACAGAGTTAAATCTGTCTTTTGACAGAGCAGTATTGAAACACTCCTTTTGTAGAATGTACCTGTTTATATTTGGAATTCTTTGAGGAATTCTTTGGAAACGGGTATCTTCACATAAAAAGGAGACCCAAGCTTTCCCAGAAAGTACTTTATGATCTGTGCATTCAACTCACAGACTTGATAGTTTCCTTTCATAGAACAGTGTTGAAACACATTTTTTGTAAAATCTGCAATTGTTCATTTGGAGCGCTTTGTTGGCTATGGTGGAAAAAGAAATATCTTCACATTAAAACTAGACGGAAGCATTCTCAGAAACTCCTTTGTTGTGTGTGTTTAATTCACAGAGTTGAACCTTTCTTTTGATAGAGCAGTTTTGAAACCCTGCTTTTGTAGAATCTGCTTGTGGATATTTGGATCTCCTCAAGGAATTCGTTGTAAACAGGATATCTTCACATAGAAAATAGACAGAAGCATTCTCAGAAACTGCTTTGTGATGTGTGCATTCAAATCACAGAGTTGAACCTTCCTTTTGAGAGAGCAGTTTTGAAAGAGTCTTTTTGTAGTATCTGCAAGTGGATATTAGGAGTGATTTGAGGCCTAAGATGGAAAAGGAAATATCTCCACATACAAACTAGACAGGATCATTCTCAGAAATTTCTTTGTGATATGTGCCTTCCACTCACAGACTTGAACCTTTCTTTTGATAGAGCAGCGTTGAAACACCCAGTTTGTAGAATCTGCAAGTGTTCATTTGGAGCGATTTTTTGTCTATGGTGGAAAAAGAAATATCTTCACATTACAACTAGACAGAAGCATTTTCAGAAACAACTTTGTGGTCTGTGTGTTCAATTCACAGACTTGAACCTTTTTTTTGGTAGAGAAGTTGTGAAACACTGCTTTTGTAGAATCTGCTTGTGGATATTTGGAGCTCTTTCAGGAATTCATTGTAAACGGGATATATTCACATACAAACTAGACAGAAGCATTCTCAGAATCTACTTTGTGATGTGTGTGTTCAATTCCCGGAGTTGAACCTTTCTTTTGATAGAGCAGTTTTGAAACACGGCTTTTGTAGTCTCTGCTTGTGGATATTTGGAGCTCTTTGAGGAATTCGTTGTAAACGGGATATCTTCACATACAAACTTGACAGAAGTATTCTCAGAAACTGCTCTGTGATGTGTGCATTCAACTCAGAGAGTTGAACCTTCCTTTTGAGAGAGCAGTTTTGAAACAGTCTTTTTGTAGTATCTGCAAGTGAATATTAGGAGTGATTTGAGGCCTAAGATGGAAATGGAAATATAATCACGTACAAACTAGAAAGAAGCATTCTCAGAAACTGCTTTGTGATGTGTGCATTCACCTCAAAGAGTGTTATCGTTCTTTTGATAGAGCAGCTTTGAAACCGTCTTTTTGTAGGATCTGCAAATATTCATTTGGAGTGCTTTGAAGCCTACGGTGGAAAAGGAAATATCTTCACATAAAAACTAGACAGAAGCATTCTCAGGAACTGCTTTTTGATGTGTGCATTCAACTAACAGCGTTGAATCTGTGTCTTGATAGGGCAGTATTGAAAAACTCCTTTTGTAGAATCCACTGGTGGATTTTACGGACTCTTTGAGGTATTCATTGGAAACAGTTATCTTAACATAAAAATTAGACCCAAGCATCCTCAGACTGTTCTTTGTGATGTGTGCATTCAACTCACAGACTTGAGCCTTTCTTTTGATAGAGCAGTGTTGAAACACACTTTTTGTAGAATCTGCAAGTGTTCATTTGGAGCGCTTTGTCGCCTATGGTGGAAAAAGAAATATCTTCACATAAAAACTAGACTGAAGTATTCTCAGAAACTCCTTTGGGATGTGTGTGTTCAATTCACAGAGTTGAACCTTTCTTTTGATAGAGCAGTTTTGAAACACTTCTTTTGCAGAATCGGCTTGTGCATATTTGGAGCTATTTGAGGAAATCGTTGTAAACAGGATATCTTCACATACAAACTAGACAGAAGCATTCTCGGAAACTGCTTTGTGATGTGTGCATTCAACTCACAGACTTGAACCTTCCTTTTGCGAGAGCAGTTTTGAAACAGTCTTTTGTAGTATCTGCAAGTGGATATTTGAAGCAATTTGAGGCCTATGATGGAAAACGAAATATCTTCACATACTAACTAGACAGAAGCATTCTCAGAAACTGCTTTGTGATGTGTGCATTCCACTCACACAGTTGAACCTTCCTTTTGAGAGAGCAGTTTTGAAACAGTCTTTTTGGAGTATCTGCCAGTGGATATTTGGAGCGATTTGAGGCCTGTGAATGAAAAGGAAATATCTTCACATAAAAACTAGACAGAAGAATTCTCAGAAACTGCTTTGTGATGTTTGCATTCAACTCACAGAGTTGAACCTTCCTTTTGAGAGAGGTTTTGAAACAATCTTTCTGTGGTATCTACAAGGGGATATTTGTAATGATTTGAGGCCTAAGAGGGATAAAGGAAATACCTTCACATACAAACTAGAAAGAAGCATACTCAGAAACTGCTTTGTGATGTGTGTATTCACCTAATAGAGTGGAAGCTTTCTTTTGGTAGAGCAGTTTTGAAACAGTCTTTTTGTAGGACCTGCAAGTGTGCATTTGGAGCGCTTTGAAGCCTATGGTGGATAAGGAAATATCTTCACATACAAACTAGACAGAAGCATTCTCAGGAACTTCATTGAGATGTGTCCATTCTACTGTCAGAGTTGAATCTGTCTTTTGATAGAGCAGTATTTAAAAACTCCTTTTGTAGAATCTGCTTTTGGATATTTGGAACTCTTCGAGGAATTCGTTAGAAACGGGTATCCTCACATAAAAAGAAGACCCAAGCATTCTCACAAAGTTCTTTGTGATGTGTGCATTCAACTCACAGACTTCAACCTTTCTTTTGATAGAGCAATGTTGGAACATGCTTTTTGTAGAATCTGCAAGTGTTCATTTTGAGCGCTGTGTTGCCTATGGTGGAAAAAGGATTATCTTCTCTTAAAAACTAGACAGAAGCATTCTCAGAAACTACTTTGTAAAGTGTGTGTCCAATTCACAGAGTTGAAATTTTCTTTTGATAGGGTAGTTTTGAAACACTGCTTTCGAAGAATCTGCAAGTGTTCATTTGGAGCGCTGTGTTGCCTATGGTGGTAAAAGAAATATCCTCACATCAAAACTAGACAGAAGCATTCTCAGAAACTGCTTTGTGATGTGTGCATTCAACTCACAGAGTTGAACCTTCCTTTTCAGAGAGAGCAGTTTTGAAACAGTCTTTTTGTAGTATCTGCAAGCGGATATTTGGAGCGATTTGAGGCCTATGATGGAAAAGGAAATATCTTCACATAAAAACTAGACAGAAGCATTCCCAGAAACAACTTTCTGATGTGTGCACTCACCTCACAGAGTGGAACCGTTTTTTTGTCAGACCAGTTTCGAAACAGTCTTTTTGTAGGATCTGCACGTGTTCATTTGGAGCTCTTAGAAGCATAAGGTGGAAAAGTAAATATATTCAGGTAAAACGTACTCCAAAGCACTCTCAGGAAGTTCATTAAGATGTAAGCATTCAAATAACAGTGGAATTTGTTTTTTGATAGAGCAGTATTAAAACACTCCTTTTGTAGAATCTGCTTGGGGATATTTGGAACTCTTTGAGGAATTCGTTGGAAACGGATATCTTCACAAAAAAGAAGACCCAAGAATTCTCAGGAAGTTCTTTGTCATGTGTGCCTTCAAGTCACAGACTTGAACATTTCTTTTCATAGAGCAGTGTTGAAACATGCTTTCTGTAGGATCCGCAGGTGTCCATTTGGAGCGCTTTGTTGCCTATGGTGGAAAAATAAATATCTTCACATAAAAACTAGACAGAAGCATTCTCAGAGACACCTTTGTGATGTGTGTTTTCCATTCACAGAGTTGAAACTTTCTTTTGATAGAGCATTTTTGATCCACTGATTTGTAGGATCTGCTTCTGGATATTTGAAGGTCTTGGGGTATTCTTTGTAAACAGTATGTCTTCACATACAAACCAGACAGGAGCATTCAACTGCTTGGTAATGTGTGCGTTCAACTCACGGACTTGAACCTTTCTTTTGATAGAGCAGTTTTGAAACACTGGTTTTGTAGAATCTCCTTTGGTTATTTGGAGCTCTTTGAGGATTTCATTGTAAACGGGATATCTTCACATACAAACTAGAGAGAAGCATTGTCAGAAACTGCTTTGTGTTGTGTGCATTCAACTCACAGAGTTGAACCTTCCTTTTGAGAGGGCAGTTTTCAAACAGTCTTTTTGTAGTATCTGCAAGTGGATAAATGGAGTGATTTGAGGCCTAAAATGGAAAAAGAAATATCATCTTCACATACAAACTAGACAGAAGCATTCTCAGAAACTGCTTTGTGATGTGTGCATTCAACTCACAGTCTTGCCCTTTCTTTTGATAGAGCAGTTTTGAAACAGTCTTTTTGTGGAATCTGCAAGTGTTCATTTGGAGCACTTTGTTGACTATTCTGGAAAAAGAAATATCTTCAAATAACAACTAGACAGAAGCATTCTCAGAAACTCCTTTTTGATGTGTGTGTTCAATTCACAGACTTGAACCTTTCTTTTGATAGAGCAGTTTTGAAACAGTCTTTTTGTAGTATCGGCATGTAGATATTTGGAGCGATTTGGGGCCTATGATGGAAAAGGAAATATCTTCACATAAAAACTAGACAGAAGCATTCTCAGAAACTGCTTTCTGATGTGTGCATTCAACTCACAGTGTTGAACCTTCCTTTTGTGAGAGCAGTTTTGAAACAGTCTTTTTGTATTATTTGCAAGTGGATATCTAGATCGATTAGAGGCCTATGATGGGAAAGGAACTATCTTCACACACAAACTAGACAGAAGCATTCTCAGAAACTGCTTTCTGATGTGTGCATTCACCTCACAGAGTGGTACCGTTTTTTTCATAGAGCAGTTTTGAAACAGTCTTTTTGTTGGATCTGTAGTTTTCATTTGGAGCGCTTTGAAGCCTATGGTGGAAAAGGAAATATCTTCACCTATATACTGGACAAAAGTATTCTCAGAACTTCATTGAGATATGTGCAGTCAACTAACAA
>NT_187443.1:53204-60282 GCF_000001405.40 Homo sapiens | reverse complement strand
GTGATGTGTGCATTCAACTCACAGACTTGAATCTCCCTTTGATAGAGCAGTGTTGAAACTCACTTTTTATAGAATCTGCAAGTGTTCATCAAGAGCTCTTTGTTGCGTATGCTGGAAAAAGAAATATCTTTATGTAAAAACTAGACAGAAGCATTCTCAGAAACTCCATTGTGAAGTGTGTGTCCAATTCACAGAGTTGAAATTTTCTTTTGATGATAGAGCAATTTTGAAACACTGCCTTTGTAGAATCTGCTTGTGGATATTTGGAGCTCTTTTAGGATATCGTTCTAAACGGGATATCTTCACATACAAACTATACAGAAGCATTCTCAGAAACTGCTTTGTGTTGTGTGCATTCAACTCAAATAGTGCAACCTTCCTTTTGAGAGAGCGGTTTTGAAACAGTCTTTTTGAATTATCTACAAGTGGCTATTTGTACTGATTTGAGGCCTAAGATGGAAAACGAAATACCTTCATATACAAACAAGACCGAAGCATTCTCAGAAACTGGTTTGTGATGTGTGCATTCAGCTCACAGACTTGAACCTTTCTTTTGATAGAGCAGTGTTGAAACACACGTTTTGTAGGATCCACAAGTGTTCATTTGGAGTGCTTTGTTGCCTATGGTGGCAAAAGGAATATGTTCACATAAAAAGTAGACAGAAGCATTCTCAGAAACTCCTTTGTGATGTGTGCCTTCAATTCACAGTTCTTTTGATAGAGCAGTTTTGATACACTGCTTTTGTAGAATTTGTTTGTGGATATATGGAGCTCTTTGAGGAATTCGCTGTCAATGGGATATCTTCACATACAAACTAGACAGAAGCATTCTCAGAAACTGCTCTGTGATGTGTGCATTCAACTCAGAGAGTTGAACCTTCCTTTTGAGAGAGCAGTTTTGAAACAGTCTCTTTGTAGTATCTGCAAGTGAATATTAGGAGCGATTTGAGGTCTAAGATGGAAATGGAAATATAATCACGTACAAACTAGAAAGAAGCATTCTCAGAAACTGCTTTGTGATGTGTGCATTCACCTCAAAGAGTGTTATCGTTCTTTTGATAGAGCAGCTTTGAAACCGTCTTTTTGTAGGATCTGCAAATGTTCATTTGGAGTGCTTTGAAGCCTACGGTGGAAAAGGAAATATCTTCACATAAAAACTAGACAGAAGCATTCTCAGGAACTGCTTTGTGATGTGTGCATTCAACTAACAGCGTTGAATCTGTGTCTTGATAGGGCAGTATTGAAAAACTCCTTTTGTAGAATCCACTGGTGGATTTTACGGACTCTTTGAGGTATTCATTGGAAACAGTTATCTTAACATAAAAATTAGACCCAAGCATCCTCAGACTGTTCTTTGTGATGTGTGCATTCAACTCACAGACTTGAGCCTTTCTTTTGATAGAGCAGTGTTGAAACACACTTTTTGTAGAATCTGCAAGTGTTCATTTGGAGCGCTTTGTCGCCTATGGTGGAAAAAGAAATATCTTCACATAAAAACTAGACTGAAGTATTCTCAGAAACTCCTTTGGGATGTGTGTGTTCAATTCACAGAGTTGAACCTTTCTTTTGATAGAGCAGTTTTGAAACACTTCTTTTGCAGAATCGGCTTGTGCATATTTGGAGCTATTTGAGGAAATCGTTGTAAACAGGATATCTTCACATACAAACTAGACAGAAGCATTCTCGGAACTGCTTTGTGATGTGTGCATTCAACTCACAGACTTGAACCTTCCTTTTGCGAGAGCAGTTTTGAAACAGTCTTTTGTAGTATCTGCAAGTGGATATTTGAAGCAATTTGAGGCCTATGATGGAAAACGAAATATCTTCACATACTAACTAGACAGAAGCATTCTCAGAAACTGCTTTGTGATGTGTGCATTCCACTCACACAGTTGAACCTTCCTTTTGAGAGAGCAGTTTTGAAACAGTCTTTTTGGAGTATCTGCCAGTGGATATTTGGAGCGATTTGAGGCCTGTGAATGAAAAGGAAATATCTTCACATAAAAACTAGACAGAAGAATTCTCAGAAACTGCTTTGTGATGTTTGCATTCAACTCACAGAGTTGAACCTTCCTTTTGAGAGAGGTTTTGAAACAATCTTTCTGTGGTATCTACAAGGGGATATTTGTAATGATTTGAGGCCTAAGAGGGATAAAGGAAATACCTTCACATACAAACTAGAAAGAAGCATACTCAGAAACTGCTTTGTGATGTGTGTATTCACCTAATAGAGTGGAAGCTTTCTTTTGGTAGAGCAGTTTTGAAACAGTCTTTTTGTAGGACCTGCAAGTGTGCATTTGGAGCGCTTTGAAGCCTATGGTGGATAAGGAAATATCTTCACATACAAACTAGACAGAAGCATTCTCAGGAACTTCATTGAGATGTGTCCATTCTACTGTCAGAGTTGAATCTGTCTTTTGATAGAGCAGTATTTAAAAACTCCTTTTGTAGAATCTGCTTTTGGATATTTGGAACTCTTCGAGGAATTCGTTAGAAACGGGTATCCTCACATAAAAAGAAGACCCAAGCATTCTCACAAAGTTCTTTGTGATGTGTGCATTCAACTCACAGACTTCAACCTTTCTTTTGATAGAGCAATGTTGGAACATGCTTTTTGTAGAATCTGCAAGTGTTCATTTTGAGCGCTGTGTTGCCTATGGTGGAAAAAGGATTATCTTCTCTTAAAAACTAGACAGAAGCATCTCCAGAAACTACTTTGTAAAGTGTGTGTCCAATTCACAGAGTTGAAATTTTCTTTTGATAGGGTAGTTTTGAAACACTGCTTTCGAAGAATCTGCAAGTGTTCATTTGGAGCGCTGTGTTGCCTATGGTGGTAAAAGAAATATCCTCACATCAAAACTAGACAGAAGCATTCTCAGAAACTGCTTTGTGATGTGTGCATTCAACTCACAGAGTTGAACCTTCCTTTTCAGAGAGAGCAGTTTTGAAACAGTCTTTTTGTAGTATCTGCAAGCGGATATTTGGAGCGATTTGAGGCCTATGATGGAAAAGGAAATATCTTCACATAAAAACTAGACAGAAGCATTCCCAGAAACTGCTTTCTGATGTGTGCACTCACCTCACAGAGTGGAACCGTTTTTTTGTCAGACCAGTTTTGAAACAGTCTTTTTGTAGGATCTGCATGTGTTCATTTGGAGCTCTTTGAAGCCTAAGGTGGAAAAGTAAATATATTCACGTAAAACCTACACCAAAGCACTCTCAGGAACTTCATTAAGATGTATGCATTCAAATAACAGTTGAATCTGTCTTTTGATAGAGCAGTATTAAAACACTCCTTTTGTAGAATCTGCTTGGGGATATTTGGAACTCTTTGAGGAATTCGTTGGAAACGGATATCTTCACAAAAAAGAAGACCCAAGAATTCTCAGGAAGTTCTTTGTCATGTGTGCCTTCAACTCACAGACTTGAACATTTCTTTTCATAGAGCAGTGTTGAAACATGCTTTCTGTAGGATCCGCAGGTGTCCATTTGGAGCGCTTTGTTGCCTATGGTGGAAAAATAAATATCTTCACATAAAAACTAGACAGAAGCATTCTCAGAGACACCTTTGTGATGTGTGTTTTCCATTCACAGAGTTGAAACTTTCTTTTGATAGAGCATTTTTGATCCACTGATTTGTAGGATCTGCTTCTGGATATTTGAAGGTCTTGGGGTATTCTTTGTAAACAGTATGTCTTCACATACAAACCAGACAGGAGCATTCAACTGCTTGGTAATGTGTGCGTTCAACTCACGGACTTGAACCTTTCTTTTGATAGAGCAGTTTTGAAACACTGGTTTTGTAGAATCTCCTTTGGTTATTTGGAGCTCTTTGAGGATTTCATTGTAAACGGGATATCTTCACATACAAACTAGAGAGAAGCATTGTCAGAAACTGCTTTGTGTTGTGTGCATTCAACTCACAGAGTTGAACCTTCCTTTTGAGAGGGCAGTTTTCAAACAGTCTTTTTGTAGTATCTGCAAGTGGATAAATGGAGTGATTTGAGGCCTAAAATGGAAAAAGAAATATCATCTTCACATACAAACTAGACAGAAGCATTCTCAGAAACTGCTTTGTGATGTGTGCATTCAACTCACAGTCTTGCCCTTTCTTTTGATAGAGCAGTTTTGAAACAGTCTTTTTGTGGAATCTGCAAGTGTTCATTTGGAGCACTTTGTTGACTATTCTGGAAAAAGAAATATCTTCAAATAACAACTAGACAGAAGCATTCTCAGAAACTCCTTTTTGATGTGTGTGTTCAATTCACAGACTTGAACCTTTCTTTTGATAGAGCAGTTTTGAAACAGTCTTTTTGTAGTATCGGCATGTAGATATTTGGAGCGATTTGGGGCCTATGATGGAAAAGGAAATATCTTCACATAAAAACTAGACAGAAGCATTCTCAGAAACTGCTTTCTGATGTGTGCATTCAACTCACAGTGTTGAACCTTCCTTTTGTGAGAGCAGTTTTGAAACAGTCTTTTTGTATTATTTGCAAGTGGATATCTAGATCGATTAGAGGCCTATGATGGGAAAGGAACTATCTTCACACACAAACTAGACAGAAGCATTCTCAGAAACTGCTTTCTGATGTGTGCATTCACCTCACAGAGTGGTACCGTTTTTTTCATAGAGCAGTTTTGAAACAGTCTTTTTGTTGGATCTGTAGTTTTCATTTGGAGCGCTTTGAAGCCTATGGTGGAAAAGGAAATATCTTCACCTATATACTGGACAAAAGCATTCTCAGGAACTTCATTGAGATGTGTGCAGTCAACTAACAATTTGATCTGTCTTTTGATAGCGCATTACTGAAACACTCGTTTTGTAGAATCTGCTTGTGGATATTTGCAATTCTTTGAGGAATTCGTTAGAAACGGGTATCTTCCTGTAAAAAGCATACCCAAGCATTCTCAGAAAGTTCTTTGTGATGTGTGCATTCAACTCAGAGAGTTGAAACTTCCTTTTGAGAGAGCAGTTTTGAAACAGTCTTTTTGTAGTATCGGCAAGTGGATATTTAGAGCGATTTCAGGCCTCTGATGGAAAAGGAAATATCTTCACATAAAAACTAGACAGAAGCATTCTCAGGAAGTTCATTGAGATGTGTGCATTCAACTAACAGAGTTGAATCTGTCTTTTGATTGAGCACTATTGAAACACTGCTTTTGTAGAGTCCGCTTGTGAATATTTGGAACTCTTTGAAGAGTTCGTTGGAAATGGTTATCTTCACATAAAAAGTAGATCCAAGCATTGTCAGAAATTTGTTTGTGATGTGTGCATTCAACACACAGACTGGAAATTTGTTTTGATACACCAGTGTTGAATCACACTTTTTGAAGTATCTGCAGGTGTTGATATGGAGCGCTTTTTCTCCTTTGGTGGAACAAGAAATATTTTGACATAAAAACTAGACAGAAGCATTATCAGAAACTCCTTTGTGATGTGTGCATTCACCTCACAGAGTGGAAACGTCCTTTTGAGAGAGCAGTTTTGAAACAGTCTTTTTGTAGGATCTGAAAGTGTTCATTTGGAGCGCTTGGAAGAATATGGTTGAAAAGGAAATATCTTCACATAAACACTAAGACAGAAGCATTCTCAGGAACTTCATCGAGATATCTGCATACAACTAACAGAGTTGAATCTGTCTTTTGAAAGAGCAATACTGGAACACTCCTTTTGTAGAATCTGCTTGAGGATATTTGGAACTCTTTGAGGAATTCATTAGAAACTGGTATCTTCACATAAAAAGGCGACCCAACAATTCTGAGAATGCTCTTTGTGATGTGTGCATTCAACTCACAGACTTGAACATTTCTTTTGACAGAGCAGTGTTGAAACGCACTTTTTGTAGAATCTGCAAGTGTTCATTTGGAGCGCTTTTTTGCCTATGTTGGAAAAAGAAATATCTTGACATAAAAACTAGACAGAAGCAGTCTCAGAAACTGTTTTGTGATGTGTGTGTTCAATTTACAGAGTTGAACCTTTCTTTTGATAGAGCAGTTTTGAAAGACTGCTTTTGTAGGATCTGCTTGTGGATATTTGGAGCTCTTTGAAGAATTCGTTGTAAACGGGATATCTTCACATACAAACTAGACAGAAGCATTCTCAGAAACTGCTTTGTGATGTGTGCATTCAACTCACAGAGTTGAACCTTCCATTGGAGAGAGCAGTGTTGAAACGGTATTTTTGTAGTATCTGCAAGTGGATATTTGGAGCGATTTGAGGCCTATGATGGAAAAGGAAATATCTTCACATACAAACTAGACAGAAGCATTCTCAGGAACTGCTTTGTGATGTGTGCATTCAACTCACACAGTTGAACCTTCCTTTTGGGAGAGCAGTTTTGAATCAGTCTTTTTGTAGGACCTGCAAGTTTTCATTTGGAGCGCTGTGAAGCCTATGGTGGAAAAGGGAATATCTTCACAAAAAACTAGGCAGAAGCCTTCTCAGGAACTTCATTGAGATGTGTGCATTCAACTAACAGAGTTGAAACTGTCTTTTGACAGAGCAGGAGTGAAACACTCCTTTTGCAGTACCTGACTGTGTATATTTGGAACTCTTTGAGTTATTCGTTGGAAACGGGTATCTTCACATAAAAAGTAGACCCAAGCATTCTCAGAAAGTTCGTTGTGATGTGTGCATTCAACTCACAGACTGGAAACTTTCTTTTGATAGAGCAGTGTTGAGACACACTTTTTGTAGAACCCACAAGTATTCATTTGGAGCGCTTTGTTGCCTATGTGGGAAATACCGTCACCTAAACACTAGACAGAAGCATTCTCTGAAACTCCTTTGTGATGTGTGTGTTCAATTCACATCGTTGAACCTTTCTTTTGATAGAGCAGTGTTGAAACATCCTTTTTGTAGAATCTGCAAGTGTTCATTTCGAGTACTTTTTTACGTATGTTGGAAAAAGTGATATCTTCACCTGAAAAATAGACAGAAGCATTCTCAGAAACTGCTTCGTAACGTGTGCATTCAACTCACGGAGTCGAACCTTCCTTTTGAGAGAGCGGTTTGAAACAGTCTTCTTGTAGTATCCGCAAGTGGATATTTGCAGTGATTTGAGGCCGAAGAAGG
>NT_187443.1:38360-43284 GCF_000001405.40 Homo sapiens | reverse complement strand
AAAGAAGGTTCAACCCTGTGACTTGAGTAAACCCACCAAAGGGAAGTTTCTGAGAATGCTTTTGTCTGCTTTTTATGTGAAGATATTTCCTTTTTCAATGCAGGCATCAAAGGTCTCCAAATGTCCACTTCCAGATACAAGAAAAATAGTGTTTCAAAACTGCTCTATGAAAGGGAATGTTCAATTCTGTGAGTTGAATGCAAACATCACAAAGAAGTTTCTGAGATTTCTTCTGTCTAGTTTTATGTGAAGATATTCCCGTTTCCAACAAAAGCCTCACAGCTATCCAAATATCCACTTGCAGAGTCTACAAAAAGAATCTTTCAAAACTGCTCTATGAAAAGAAGAGTTCAACTCTATGAGTTCAGTACACACATCACAAAGAAGTTTCTGAGAATTCTGTCTAGTTTTTATGGGAAGATATTTCCTTTTTCATCATAGGCCTCAAAGCACTATAAGTTTCCACTTACAGATTCTACAAAATGAGTGTTTCAATACTGCTCTACGAAAAGGAATGTTCAACTCTGTGAGTTTAGTGCAAACATCACAAAGACGTTTCTGGGAATGCTTCTGTCTAGTTTTTAGGTGAAGATATTCTGGTTTCCAACGAATGTCTCAAAGCTATCCAAATATCCACTTGCAGATTCTCCAAAAAGAGTGTTTCAAAAGTGCTGTATCAAAGGAAAAGTTTAACTCTGTGAGTTGAGTACTCACATCACAAAGAAGTTTCTGAGAATGCTTCTGTCCACTTTTTATGTGAAGATATTTCCTTTTTCACCATACGTCTCAAATCGCTACAAATGTCCACTTGCAGATTTCACAAAAAGAGTGTTTCAAAACTGCTCTATGAGAAGGAATGTTCAACTCTGTGAGTTGAGTGCAAACATCACAAAGAAGTTTCTGAGAATGCTTCTGTTAAGTTTTTAGGTGAAGATATTCCCGTTTCCAATGAAAGCCTCAAAGCTATCCAAATATCCACTTGCAGATTCTCTAAAAAGAGTGTTTCAAAAGTGCTGTAACAAAGGTAAGGTTCAACTCTGTGAGTTGAGTACACACATCACAAAGTAGTTTCTGAGAATTTTTCTTTCTAGTTTCTATGTGAATATATTTCCTTTTTCATCATAGGCCTCAAAGTGCCCCAAATGTCTACTTCCAGATGCTACAAAAACAATGTTTCAAAACTGCTCTTTGAAAGGGAATTTTCACCTCTGTGAGTTGAATGCAAACATCACAAAGTAGTTTCTGAGAATGCTTCCCTCTAGCTTTTATGAGAAGATATACCCGTTTCAATGAAAGGCTCAAAGCTATCCAAATATCCACTAGCAGATTCTTCAGAAAGCGTGTTTCAAAAGAGCTCTATCAAAAGAAAGGATCAACCCTGTCAGCTGAGTACAACCATCAAAGAGAAGTTTCTGAGAATGCTTCTGTCTGGTTTTTATGTGAAGATAATTCTTTTTTCACCGCAGGCATCAAATCTCTCCAAATGTCCAAGTCCAGATACAACAAAAAGAGTGTTTCAAAACTGCTCTATGAAAGGGAATGTTCAATCCTGTGAGTTGATTGCAAACACCACTAAGAAGTTTCTGAGATTGCTTCTGTCAAGTTTTAATGTGAAGATATTCCCGTTTCCAACGAAAGCCTCACAGCTATCAAAATATCCACTTGCAGAGTCTACAAAAAGAGTGTTTCAAAACTGCTCTGTGAAAAGAAGAGTTCGACTCTGTGAGCTGAGTACACACCTCACAAAGAAGTTTCTGAGAATTCTTCAGTCTAGTTTTTATCGGAAGGTATTCCCTTTTTCACCATAGGCCTCAAAGTGCTCCAAGTTTCCACTTACAGATTCTACAAAAAGATTGTTTCAAAACTGCTCTATGAAAAGCAATGTTCAACTCTGTGAGTTGAATGCAGGCATCACAAAGAAGTTTCTGAGAATGCTTCTGTCTAGATTTTATGTGAAGATATACCCGTTTAGAACGAAGGCCACAGAGTGTTCCAAATATTCACTTGCAGATCCTACAAAAAGAGTGTTTCAAACCTGAACTATCAAAGGAAGGTTCAACTCTGGGATTTGAAGGCAAACATGACAAAGAAGTTTCTGAGACTGCTTCTGTTTAGTTAGCTGAAATTATCCCGTTTTCAATGGAATCCTCAGAGAGGTCCAAATATCCACTTGCAGATTCTACAAAAAGTGAGTTTCGAAACTCCTCCATCCAAAGGAATGTTCAGCTCTGTGAGTTAAACTCAATCATCACAGAGAATTTTCTGAGAATGCTTCTGTCTTGTTTTTATATGAAGTTATTTCCTTTACTATGGTAGGCCTCAAAGAGGTCCAAATATCCACTTGCAGACTCTGCAAAAAGAGTGTTTCAAACCTGAACTATCAAAGAAAGGTTCAACACTGTGAGTTGAATGCAAACATCACGAAGAAGGTTCTGAGAATGCTTCTGTTTAGTTATGTGAGGTTTATCCCGTTTCCAAGGAAATCCTCAGAGAGGTCCAAATATCCACTTGCAGATTCTACAAAAAGTGTGATTTGAAACTGCTCCGTCAAAAGGAATGTGCAGCTCTGTGAGCTAAACTCAATCGTCACAAACAGTTTTCTGAGAATGCTACTGTCTAGTTTTTAGATGAAGTTATTTCCTTTACTACCATAGGTCTCAAAGCGATCCAAATCTCCACTTGCAGATTCTACAAAAAGAGTGTTTCCAAACTGCTCTATCAAAGGGAATGTTCAACTCTGTGACTTGAATGCAATCATCCCAAAGTATTTTCTGAGAATGCTTCTATCTAGTTTTTACGGGAAGATATTCCCTTTTCCAACACAGGCCTCAAAGCCCTCCAAATGTCCACTTGCAGATTCTAGAAAAAGAGTGTTTCAAAGCTTCTCTCTCAAAAGGAAAGTTCAACTCTGTGAGTTGAATGCAAACATCACAAAGAAGTTTCTGAGAATGCTTCCATTTAGCTTTTATGTGAAGATTATCCCGTTTCCAATGAAATCTTCAAAGAGGTCCAAATATCCACTTGCAGATTCCACAGAAAGAGTGTTTCGAAACTGCTGCTTGAAAAGGAATCTTCAACTCGGTGAGTTGAATGCAATCATCACAAAGAAGTTTCTGACAATGCTTCTCTCTAGTTTTTATGTGACGATAATTCGTTTTCCACCACAGGCCTGAAAGCGCTCCAAATGTCCACTTGCCGACACTAAGAAAAGAATGTTTCAAAACTGCTCTATGGAAAGCAATGTTAAACTCTGTGAGTTGAAAACAAACATCACAAAGGAGTTTCTGAGAATGCTTCTGTTTAGTTTTTATGTGAAGATATTCCCGTTTCCAAAGAAATCTTCAAAGAGGTCCACATATCCACTTGCAGATTCTACAAAAAGAGAGTTTCAAAAATGCTCTATCAAAAGGAGTGTTCAACTCCGTGACTTGAATGCAATCATCACAGAGAAGTTTCTGAGAAGGCTTCTGTCTAGATTTTATGTGAAGGTATACCCGTTTCGAATGAAGGCCACAAAGTGGTCCAAATATCCACTGGCAGATCCTACAAAAAGAGGGTTTCAAACCTGAACTATCAAAGGAAGGTTCAAGTCTGGGATTTGAATGCAAACATCACAAAGAAGTTTCTGAGACTGCTTCTGTTTAGTTAGGTGAAGTTATCCCGTTTCCAACGAAATCCTCAGAGAGGTCCAAATATCCACTTGCAGATTCTACAAAAGGTGTGTTTCAAAACAGCTCCATCCAAAGGAATGTTCAGCTCTGTGAGTTAAACTCAATCGTCAAAAAGAATTTTCTGAGAATGCTTCTGTCTAGTTTTTATATGAAGCTATTTCCTTTACTACCACAGGCCTCAAAGTGCTCCACATCTCCACTTGCAGATTCTACAAAAAGAGAGTTTCCAAACTGCTCTATCAATAGGAATGTTCAATTCTGTGAGTTGAATGGAATCATCACCAAGTAGGTTCTGAGAATGCTTCTGTTTAGTTATGTGAGGTTTATCCCTTTTCCAACTAAATCCTCAGAGAGGTCCAAATATCCACTTGCAGATTCCACAGAAAGAGTGTGTCGAAACTGCTGTTTGAAAAGGAATCTTCAACACTGTGGGTTGAACGCAATCATCACAAATAAGTTTCTGACAATGCTTCTCTCTAGTTTTTATGTGACGATAATTCCTTTTCCACCACAGGCCTGAAAGCCCTCCAAATGTCCACTTGCAGACTCTATGAAAAGAATGTTTGAAAACTGCTCTATCAATAGGAATGTTCAACTCTGTGAGTTGAATGCAATCATCACAAAGTAGTTTCTCAGAATTCTCTTTCTACTTTTTATGTGGATATATTTCCTTTTTCGCCATAGGCCTCAAAGTGCCCCGAATGTCCACTTCCAGATGCTACAAAAACAGTGTTTCAAAACTGCTCTTTGAAAGGGAATGTTTAACTCCGTGAGTTGAATGCAAACATCACAAAGTAGTTTCTGAGAATGATTCCCTCTAGTTTTTATGAGAAGATATTCCCGTTTCAAATGAAAGCCTCAAAGCTATCCAAATATCCACTTGCACGTTCTACAAAAAGAGTGTTTCAAAACTGCTCTATCAAAAGAAAGGTTCAACTCTGTGAGTTGAGTACACCCAACACAGAGATGTTTCTGAGAATGCGTCTGTCTGGTTTTTATGTGAAGATACTTCCTTTTTCACCGCAGGCATCAAAGCTCTCCAAATGTCCACTTGCAGATACAACAAAAAGAGTCTTTCAAAGCTGCTCTATGAAAGGGAATGTTCAATTCTGTGAGTTGAATGCAAACATCACAAAGAAGTTTCTGAGGTTGCTTCTGTCTAGTTTTAATGTGAAGATATTCTCGTTTCCAACGAAAGCCTCACAGCTATCCAAATATCTATTTGCAGAGCCTACAAAAAGAGTGTTTCAAAA
>NT_187443.1:14604-34114 GCF_000001405.40 Homo sapiens | reverse complement strand
GAGTGTTTCAAAACTGCTCTATGAAAAGAAGAGTTCAACTCTGTGAGTTGAGTACACACATCACAAAGGAAGTTTCTGAGAATTCTTGTGTCTAGCTTTTATGGAAGATATTTGATTTTTCACCGTCGGCCTCAAAGCGTTCCCAGTTTCCAATTACAGATTCTACAAAAAGAGTGTTTCAAAACTGATCTATGAAAAGGAATGTTCAACTCTGTGAGTTGAATGCAGTGAGTTGAATCACAAAGAAGTTTCTGAGAATGCTTCTGTCTAGTTTTTATGTGAAGATAATCCCATTTCCAACGAAATCCTCAAAGCTATCCAAATATCCACTTGCAGACTCTACAAAAAGTGTGTTTCAAAACTGCTGTATCTAAAGAAAGTTTCATCTCTGTGAGTTGAGTACACACATCACAAAGTAGTTTCTGAGAATGCTTCTGTCTATTTTTTAGTGAAGACATTTCCTTTTTCACCATATGATTCAAAGCGCTCAAAATGTCCACTTCTAGATACTTCAAGAAGAGTGTTTCCAAACTGCTCTTTGAAAGGGAACGTTTAACTCCGAGAGTTGAATGCAAGCCTCACAAAGTAGTTTCTGAGAATGCTTCTGTCTAGTTTTTATGTGAAGATATTCACGTTTCCAACGAAATACTCATCGCTGTCCTAATATACCCTTCTAAATTCTACGAAAATAGTGTTTGCAAACTGCTGTATCAAAGGAAAGGTTTAACTCTGTGAGTTGAGTACACACATCACAAAGAAGTTTCTGAGAATGCTTCTGTCCCCTTTTTATGTGAAGATATTTACTTTTTCACCATACGTCTCAAATCGCTACACATGTCCACTTGCAGATTTCACAAAAAGAGTGTTTCAAAACTGCTCTATGAAAAGGAATGTTCAACTCTGTGAGTTGAGTGCAAACATCACAAAGAAGTTTCTGAGAATGCTTCTGTCTAGTTTTTAGGTGAAGATATTCCCGTTTCCAACGAAAGCCTCAAAGCTATCCAAATATCCACTTGCAGATTCTCCAAAAAGAGTGTTTCAAAAGTGCTGTATCAAAGGAAAGGTTCAACTCTGTGAGTTGAGTACACACATCAGAAAGTAGTTTCTGAGAATGCTTCTTTCTAGTTTTTATATGAATATAATTCCTTTTTCACCATAGGCCTCAAAGTGCCCCAACTGTCCACTTCCAGATGCTACAAAAACAGTGTTTCAAAACTGCTCTTTGAAAGGGAACGTTCAACTCCGCGAGTTGAATGGAAACGTCACAGAGTAGTTTCTGAGAATGATTCCCTCTAGTTTTTATAAGAATATATTCCCGTTTCAAATGAAAACCTCAAAGTTGTAAAAATATCCACTTCCAGATACTACAAAAAGAGTGTTTCAAAACTGCTCTATCAAAAGGAAGGTTCAACACCGTGAGTTGAGTACACCCATCACAGAGAAGTTTTTGAGAATGCTTCTGTCTGGTTTTTATGTGAAGATACTTCCTTTTTCAATGCAGGCATCAAAGCTCCCCAAATGTCCACTTCCAGATACAACAAAAAGAGTGTTTCAAAGCTGCTCTATGAAAGGGAATTTTTAATTCTGTGAGTTGAATGCAAACATCACAAAGAATTTTCTGAGATTGCTTCTGTCTAGTTTCAATGTGAAGATAGTCCCGTTTCGAATGAAAGCCTCACAGCTATCCAAATATCCCCTTGCACAGTCTACAAAAAGAGTGTTTCAAAACTGCTCTATGAAAGGAAGATTTCAACTCTGTGAGTTTAGTGCACACATCACAAAGAAGTTTCTGAGAATTCTTGTGTATAGTTTTTATGGGTAGATATTCCCTTTTCCAGCGTAGGCCTCAAATCGCTCCAAGTTTCCACTTACAGATTCTGCAAAAAGAGTGTTTCAAAACTGCTCTATGAAAAGGAAGGTTCAACTCAGTGAGTTGAATGCAGGCATCACACAGAATTCTCTGAGAATGCTTCTGTCTCGTTTTTATGTGAAGATAATCCCGTTTCCAGCGAAATACTCAAAGCTATCCAAATATCCACTTGCAGACTCTGCAAAAAGAGTGTTTCAAAACTGCTGTATCTAAAGAAAGGTTCAACTCTGTGAGTTGAGTACACACATCATAAAGTAGTTTCTGCGAATGCTTCTGTCTAGTTTTTATGTGAAGATATTTCCTTTTTCACCACAGGATTCAAAGCGCTCCAAATGTCCACTTCCAGATACTACAAAAAGAGTGTTTCAAAACTGCTCTTTGAAAGGGAATGTTTAACTCCGAGAGTTGAATGCAAACCTCACAAAGTAGTTTCTGAGAATGATTCTGTCTTGTTTTTATGTGAAGCTATTCGCTTTTCCAATGAAATACTCATCGCTGTCTTAATATCCACTTGTAAATTCTACAAGAATAATGTTTCAAAACTGCTGTATCAAAGCAAAAGTTTAACTCTGTGAGTTGAGTACATACATCTCAAAGAAGTTTCTGAGAATGCTTCTGTCCTCTTTTTATGTGAAGATATTTCCTTTTTCACCATACGTCTCAAATCGCTACAAATGTCCACTTGCAGATTTCACAAAAAGAGTGTTTCAAAACTGCTCTATGAAAAGGAATGTTCAACTCTGTGAGTTGAGTGCAAACATCACAAAGAAGTTTCTGAGAATGCTTCTTTCTAGTTTTTATGTGATTATATTTCCTTTTTCACCATAGGCCTCAAAGTGCCCCAAACGTCCACATCCAGATGCTACAAAAACAGTGTTTCAAAACTGCTCTTTGAAAGGGAATGTTCAACTTCCTGAGTTGAATGCAAACATCACACATTAGTTTCTGAGAATGCTTCCCTCTATTTTTCATGAGAAGATATTCCCGTTTCAAATGAAAGCCTCAAAGCTATCCAAATACCCACTTGCAGATTCTACAAAAGCAGTGTTTCAAAACTGCTCTATCAAAAGAAAGGTTCAATTCTGTGAGTTGAGTACACACATCACAGATAAGTTTCTGAAAATGCTTCTGTCCGGTTGTTATGTACAGATACTTCCTTTTTCACTGCAGGCATCAAAGCTCTCCAAATGTCCACTTACAGATATGATAAAAAGAGTGTTTCAAAGCTGCTCTATGAAAGGGAATGCTCAGTTCTGTGAGTTGAATGCAAACATCCCAAAGAAGTTTCTGAGATTGCTTCTGTCTAGTTTTATTGTGAAGATATCCCCGTTTCCAACGAAAGCCTCACAGCTGTCCAAATATCCACTTGCAGATTCTCCAAAAAGAGTGTTTCAAAAGTGCGGTATCAAAGAAAAGGTTCAACTCTGTGATTTGAGTACAGACATCACAAAGTTTTTTCTGAAAATGCTTCTTTCTAGTTTTTATGTGAATATATTTCCCTTTTCACCATAGGACTCAAATTACCCCAAATGTGCACTTCCAGATGCTACAAAGACAGTGTTTCAAAACTGCTCTTTGAAAGGGAATGTTCAACTCCGTGAGGTGAATGCAAACATCACAAAGTAGTTTCTGAGAATGCTTCCCTCTAGTTTTTATCAGAAGACATTCCCGTTTCCAATGAAAGCCTCAAAGCTATCCAAATATCCACTCGCAGATTCTACAAAAAGGGTGTTTCAAATCTGCTCTATCAAAAGAAAGATTTAACTCTGTTAGTTGAGTACACCCATCACAGGGAAGTTTCTGAGAATGCTTCTGTCTGGTTTTTATGTGAAGGTACTTCCTTTTTCACCGCAGGCATCAAATTTCTCCAAATGTCTACTTCCAGATACAAGAAAAAGAGTGTTTCAAAGCTGCTCTATGAAAGGGAATGTTCAATTCTGTGAGTTGAATGCAAACATCACAAAGAAGTTTCTGAGATTGCTTCTGTCTTGTTTTAATGTGAAGATATTCCCGTTTCCAACGAATGCCTCACAGCTATCCAAATATCCACTTTCAGAGTCTACAAAAAGAGTATTTCAAAACTGCTCTATGAAAACAAGAGTTCAATTCTGTGAGTTGAGTACACACATCACAAAGTAGTTTCTGAGAATTCTTCTGTCTAGTTTTTATGGGAAGATATTTCCTTTTTCAGTGCAGGCCTCAAAGTACTCCAAGTTTCCACTGACAGATTCTATGAAAAGAGTGTTTCAAAACTGTTCTTTGAAAGGGAGTGTTCAACTCAGTGAGTTGAATGCAGGCTTCACAAAGAAGTTTCTGAGAATGCTTCTGTCTGGTTTTTAATTTGAAGATAATCCCGTTTCCAAAGAAATCCTCAAAGCTATCCAAATATCCACTTGCAGACTCTGCAAAAAGAGTGTTTCAAAACTGCTGTACTAAAGAAAGGTTCAACTCTGTGAGTTGAGTACACACATCACAAAGTAGTTTCTGAGAATGCTTCTGTCTAGTTTTTATGTGAAGACATTTCCTTTTTCACCATAGGATTCAAAGTACTCCAAATGTCCACTTCCAGATACTACAAAAAGAGAGTTTCAAAACTGCTCTTTGAAAGGGAATGTTTAACTCCGAGAGTTGAATGCAAACCTCACAAAGTAGTTTCTGAGAATGCTTCTGTCTAGTTTTCATGTAAAGATATGCGCATTTCCAATGTAATACTCATCGCTGTCTTAATATCCACTTGTAAATCCTAGAAGAATAGTGTTTCCAAACTGCTGTATCAAAGGAAAGGTTTAACTCTGTGAGTTGAGTACACACATCGCAAAGAAGTTTCTGAGAATGCTTCTGTCCACTTTTTATGTGAAGATATTTCCTTTTTCACCATACGTCTCAAATCGCTGCAAATATCCACTTGCAGATTTCACAAAAAGAGTGTTTCAAATCTGCTTTCTGAAAGGGAATGTTCAACTCTGTGAGTTGAGTGCAAACATCACAAAGAAGTTTCTGAGAATGCTTCTGTGTGGTTTTTATGTGAGGATACTTCCTTTTTCACCGCAGGCATCAAAGCTCTCCAAATGTCCACTTCCAGATACAACAAAAAGAGAGTTTCAAAACTGCTCTATGGAAGGGAATGTTCAACTCCGTGAGTTGAATGCAAACATCACAAAGAAGTTTCTGAGATTGCTTCTGTGTGCTTCTAATGTGTAGATATTCCTGTTTCCAAGGAAAGCCTCACAGCTATCCAAATATCCACTTGCAGAGTCTACAAAAAGAGTGTTTCAAAACTGCTCTAGGAAAAGAAGAGTTCAAATCTGTCAGTTGAGTACACACATCACAAAGAAGTTTCTGAGAATTCTTCTGTCTAGTTTTTATGGGAAGATACTTATTTTTTCACCATAGGACTCAAAGCGCTCCAAGTTTCCACTTACAGATTCTACAGAAAGAGAGTTTGTAAACTGCTTTAAGAAAGGGAGTGTTCAACTCCCTGTGTTGAATGCAAGCATCACAAAGAAGTTCCTGAGAATTCTTCTGTCTAGTATTTATGTGAAGATACTCCCTTTTCCAGCGAAGGCCTCAAAACTGTCAAAATATTCACTTGGAAATTCGACAAAAAGACTGTTTCCAATCTGCTCTATCAAAGGAAAGTTTGAAATCAGTGAGTTGAGAGCATACATCACAAACAAGCTTCTGAGAATGCTTCTCTCTAGTTTTATGTGAAAATATTCCCGTTTCCAACAAAATCCTCAATGCTGTACAAACATCCACTTCTAATTTCTACAAGAAGAGTGTTTCAAATCTGCTGTATCAAAGGAAGAAGAGTTTAACTCTATGAGTTGAGTACACACATCACAAGGAAGTTTCTGAGAATGCTTCTGTCTACTTTTTATGTGAAGATATTTCCTTTTTCAAACAAGGTCTCAAGTCGCACCAAATGTCTACTTGCAGATTCTAGGAAAAGAGTGTTTCAAAACTGCTCTATGAAAGTGAACGTTCAACGCTGTGAGTTGAATGTAAACATCACAAAGAAGTTTCTGAGAATGCTTCTGTCTAGTTTTTATGTGAAGACATTCACGTATCCAACGATATACTCATAGCTGTCCTAATATCCACTTGCAAATTCTACAAGAATAGTGTTCCGAACTGTTGTATCAAAGGAAAGGTTTAACTCTGTGAGTTGAGTACACACATCACAAAGTAGTTTCTGAGAATGTTTCTGTCCACTTTTTATGTGAAGATATTTCCTTTTTCACCAAGTCTCAAATTGCTCCAAATGTTCACTTGCAAATTTCACAAAATGAGTGTTTCAAAACTGCTCTATGAAAAGGAACGTTCAACTCTGTGAGTTCAGTGCAATCATCACAAAGAAGTTTCTGAGAATGCTTCTGTCTAGTTTTATGTGAAGATATCGCGTTTCCAACGAAATACTCATCGCTGTCCTAATATCCACTTGTAAATTCTACAAGAATAGTGTTTCCAAACTGCTGTATCAAAGGAAAGGTTTAACTCTGTGAGTTGAGTACACACATCACAAAGAAGTTTCTGGAATTCTTCTGTCTAGTTTTTATGGGAAGATATTTCCTTTTTTACCATAGGCCTGAAAGCGCTCCAACTTTCCACTTACAGATTCTACAAAAAGAGTGTTTCAAATCTGCTCTATGAAAAGGAATGTACAACTCTGTGAGTTGAATGGAAGCATCACAAAGAAGTTTCTGAGAATGCCTCTGTCTAGTTTTTATGTGACGATACACCCGTTTCCAGCGAAGGCCTCAAATCTGTCCAAATGTCCACTTGCAAATTCCACAAAAAGATTGTTTCCAATCTACTCTATCAAAAGAAAGTTTCAGCTCTGTTAGTTGAATGCACACATCACAAAGAAGTTTCTGAGAATGCTTCTGTCTAGTTTTATGTGAAGATAATCCCGTTTCCCACGAAATCCTCAATGATGTCCTAATAACCACTTGTAAATTTTACAAGAAGAGAGTTTCAAAATTGCTGTATCAAAGGAAATCTTTAACTCTGTGAGTTGAGAACACACATCACAAAGTAGTTTCTGAGAATGCTTCTGTCTACCTTTTATGTGAGGATATTTCCTTTTTCACCAGAGGTATCAAATCGCACCAAATGTCCACTTGCAGATTCTACAAAAAGAGTGTTTCAAAACTGGTCTTTTAAAGGGAATGTTCAACTCTGTGAGTTGAATGCAAGCATCACAAAGAAGTTTTTGAGAATGCTTCTGTCTATTTTTTATGTGAAGATATTCCCGTTTCCAATGAAAGCCTCAAAGCTATCAAATATCCACTGCAGATTCTACAAAAAGAGTGTTTCAAAACTGCTGTATCAAAAGAAAGGTTCAGCCCTGTGAGTTGAGTACAAACATCACAAAATAGTTTCTGAGAATGCTTCTGTCTTGTTTTTATGAGAAGATATTTCCTTTTTCACCATAGGCCTCAAAGCCCTCCAAACGTCCACTTCCAGATACTACAAATAGAGTGTTTCAAAACTGCTCTATGAAAGGGAATGTTCAACTCTGTGAGTTGAATGCAAACACCAATGGAAGTTTCTGAGAATGCTTCTGTGTAGTTTTTATGTGAAGATATTCCCGTTTCCCACGAAATCCTCCCAGCTATCCAAATATCCAGTTGCAGACCCTACAAAAAAGTGTTTCAAAACTGCTCTACCAAAAGAAAAGTTCAACTCTGTGAGTTGAGCACACACATCACAAAGAAGTTTCTCAGAATTCTTCTCTCTAGTTTTTGTGGGAAGATATTGACTTCTTCACCATAGGCCTCAAAGCACTCCAAGTTTCCACTAACAGATTCTACAAAAAGAGTGTTTCTAAACTGCTCTAAGAAAAGGAGTGTTCAACTCTGTGAGTTGAGTACACACATCACAAATTAGTTTCTGAGAATGCTTCCGTCTATTTTTTATGTGACTATATTTCCTTTTTCACCATAGGCCTCAAAGTGCCCCAAATGTCCACTTCCAGGTACTACTAAAAGAGTGTTTCAAAACTGCTCTTTGAAAGGGAATGTTCAACTCCGTGAGTTGAATGCAAACATCACGAAGTTTGTTCTGAGAACGCTTCTGTGTAGTTTTTATGTGAAGATATTCCCGTTTCCAAAGAAGTCCTCAAATCCGTTAAAATATCACTTGCAAATCCCACAAAAATAGTGTTTCAAATCTGCTCTATCAAAAGGAAGTTTCAACTCTGTGACTTGTATGCACACATCACAAAGAAGTTTCTGCGAATGATTCTGTTTAGTTTTATGTGAAGATATTCCGTTTCCAACGAAATCCTCAATGATGTCCTAATATCCACTTGCAAATTTACAAGAAGAGTGTTTCAAAATTGCTGTTTCAAAGGAAAAGTTTAACTCTGTGAGTTGAGAACACACATCACAAATTAGATTCTGAGAATGCTTCTGTCTACCTTTAATGTGAAGATATTTCCTTTTTCAAACTGGGCCTCCAATCGCACCAAATGTCCACTTGCAGATTCTACAAAAAAGTGTTTCAGAACAGCTCTATGAAAGGGAATGTTCAACTCTGTGAGTTGAATGTGAACATCACAAAGAAGTTTCTGCAAATGTTTCTGTCTAGTGGTTAGGTGAAGATATTCCCGTTTCCTCAAAGCTATCCAAATATCCACTTGCAGACTACAAAAGAGTGTTTCAAAACTGTTCTATCAAAAGAAAAGTTCAACCCTGTGAGTTGAGTACACACATCAGAAAGATGTTTCTGAGAATTCTTCTGTCTAGTTTTTATGTGAAGATATTTCCTCTTTCACCATAGGCCTCAAAGAGCTCCAAGTTTCCACTTACAGATTCTACAAAAAGAGGGTTTCAAAACTGCTCTATGAAAAGGAATATTCAACTCAGTGAGTTGAATGCAAGCATCACAAAGCAGTTTGTGACAATTCTTCTGTCTAATTTGTAAGTGAAGATATCCCGTTTACAAAGAATTCCTCAAAGAGCTCCAAATATCCACAAGCAGATTCTATAAAAGCAGTGTTTCAAAACTGCTATAACAACAGAATTGTTCAACTCTGTGAATTAAACACACACATCACAAGGAGTTCCTGAGAATGCTTCTGTCTAGTTTTTATGGGAAGATATTCCTTTTTCCACCATATGCAACAAAGTGCTCCAAATGAACACTTGAGAATCCTACAAAAAGTGTGTCTCAACACTGCTCTATCAACAGAAAGGTTCAAGTGTGCTAGTTGAATGCACACATCACAAAGCAGTTTCCGAGAATACTTCTGAATAGTTTGTAAGTGAAGATATTTCCTTTTCCATCATAGGCCTCAAATCTCTCCAAATATCCACTTGCAGATACTACAAAAAGACTGTTTCAAAACTGCTCTCTTTAAAGGAAGGTTCAGCTCTGTGAGTTGAATGCACACATCACAAAGCAGTTTCTGAGAATGCTTCTGTCTAGTTTGTATGAGAACATATTTTCCTTTCCATCATAGGCCTCAAATTGCTCCAAATATCCACTTGCAGATACTACCAAAAGAGTGTTTCAAAACTCCTCCTTCAAAAGGAACGTTTAACACTGGAGTTGAATGCACACATCACAAAGCAGTTTCTGAGAATGCTTCTGTCTAGTTTGTATGTGAAAATATCCCGTTTACAACGAATTCCTCAAAGAGCTCCAAATATCCACAAGCAGATTCTACAAAAGCAGTGTTTCAAAACTGCTCTATCAAAAGAAAGTTTCAACTCTGTGAATTTAACACACACATCACAAAGGAGTTTCTGAGAATGCTTTCTTCTGGTTTTTATGTGAAGATATATCTTTTTCCACGATAGGCAACAAAGCGCTCCAAATGAACACTTGCAGATTCTACAAAAAGTGTGTTTCAACACTGCTCTATCAAAAGAAAAGTTCAAGTGTGTGAGTTGAATGCACACATCGCAGAGAACTTTCTGACAATGCTTGTGTCTACTTTTTTTGTGAAGATACCCTTTACCAACTAATTCCTCAAAGAGTTCCATATATTCACAAGCAGATTCTACAAAAGGAGTGTTTTAATACTGCTCTATAAAAAGACAGTTAGAACTCTGTTAGTTGAATGTGCACATCTCAATGTTGTTCCTGAGAATGCTTCTGCCTAGTTTTTATGTGAAGATATTTCCTTTTCCACCATAGGCCTCGAATCGCTCCAAATATCCACTTGCATATACTACAAAAAAACTGTCTGAAAATTGCACTCTCAAAAGGAAGCTTCAATTCTGTCAGTTCAATGCACTCATCAGATAGTAGTTTCTGAGAATTCTTCTGTCTAGGTTTCAAGTGAAGATATCCCATTTACAAGGAATTCCACTAAGAGCTCCAAATATCCACAATCAGATTCTACAAAAGCAGTGTTTCAAAACTGCTCTATCAAAAGAATTGTTCAACTCTGTGAATTTTACACATACATCACAAAGGAGTTTCTGAGAATGCTTCTGTGTAGTTTTCATGTGAAGATATTTCTTTCCACTGTAGGCAACAAAGCTCTCCAGGTGAACACTTGCAAATTCTACAAACAGTCTGTTTCAACAATGCTCTATCAAAAGAAATGTTCAAGTCTATGAGTTGAATTCCAACATCACAGAGCAGTTTCTGAGACTGCTTCTCTCAATTTGTATGTGAACATATTTCCTTTTCCATCTATGGCCTCAAATAGTTCAAAATATCCACTTGCAGATACTACAAAACGACTGTTTCAAAACTGCTCTCTCAAAAGGAAGGTTCAACTCTGTGAGTTGAATGCACAAATCTACAAGCAAATTCTGAGAATGCTTCTGTCTAGTTTGTATGTGAAGATATCCCGTTTACAATGAATTCCTCAAAGAGCTCCAAATATCCATAAGCAAATTCTACAAAAGCAGTGTTTCAAAACTGCTCTATCAAAAGAAAGGTACAACTCTGTGAATTGAACACACACATGTAAAAGGAGTTTCTGAGAACGCTTCTGTCTAGTTTTTATGTGAAGATATTTCTTTTTCCACCATAGTCAACTAAGCGCTCCAAATGAACACTTGCAGATTCTACAAAAAGTGTGTTTCAACACTGCTCTATGAAAAGAAAAGTTCAAGTCTGTGAGTTGAATGCACACATCACAAAGCAGTTTCTGAGAATGCTTCGGTCTAGTTTATATGTGAAGGTATTTCCTTTTCCATCTTAGGCCTCAAATCACTACAAATATCCACTTGAAGATACTGCAAAAAGACTGTTTCAAAACTGTTCTCTCAAAAGGAAGGTTCAACTCTGTGAGTTGAAGGCACACATCACAAATCAGTTTATGAGAATGGTTCTCTCTAGTTTGTATGTGAAGATATTTTCATTTCCATCTTAGTCCTCAAATCACTCAAAACCTCTCCTTGCAGATACTACAAAAAGACTGTTTCAAAACTGCTCTCTCAAAAGGAAAGTTGAACTCTGTGAGTTGAATACACACATCACAAAGCAGTTTCTGAGAATGCTTCTGTCTAGTTTGTATGTGAAGCTATTTTCATTTCCATCATAGGCCTCATATCACTACAAATATCCACTTGCAGATACTACAAAAATACTGTTTCAGAACTGCTCTCTCAAAATGAAGTTTCATCTCTGTGTGATGAATGTACACATCACAAAGCAGTTTTTCAGAATGCTTCTGTCTAGTTTGTATGTGAGGATATCCCGTTGACAACCAATTTCTCAAAGAGCTCCAAATATCCACAAGCAGATTCTACAAGAGCAGTGTTTCATAACTGCTCTAACAAAAGAAAGGTTCAACTCTGTTAATTGAACACATACCTCACAAAGGAGTTTCTGAGAAAGCTTCTGTCTAGTTTTTATGTGAAGATATTTCTTTTTCCATCTTAGGCAACAAAGCGCTCCAAATGAATCCTTGCAGATTCTACAATAAGTGCATTTCAACACTTCTCTATCAAAAAAAAATGTTCAAGTCTGTGAGTTCAATGCATACATCACAAAGAACTTTCTGAGAAGGCTTGGGTCTACTTTTTATGTTAAGATACCAGTTTGCAACGAATTCCTCAAAGAGTTCCAAATATCTACAAGCAGATTCTACAAAAGGAGTGTTTCAATTCTCCTCCATCAAAAGACAGATTAAACACTGTTAGTTGAATGCACACATCTCCATGAAGTTCTTGAGAATGCTTCTGTCTAGTTTTTATGTGAAGATATTTTTTTTTTCCACCACAGGCTTCAAAGCACTCCAAATGAACACTTGCAGATCGTTAAAAAGACTGTTTCAATACTGCTCTACCAAACGAATGGTTCCACTCTGTGAGTTGAATGCACACATCACAGAGCAGTTTCTCAGAATGCTTCTGTCTAGTTTATATGTGAAGATAATTCCTTTTTCATCATAGTCCTCAAATCCTTCCAAATATCCACTTGCAGATAATACAAAAAGAGTGTTTCAAAACTTCTCTCTGAAAAGGAAGGTTCGTTCAACTCTGTGAGTTGAATGCACATATCAAAAAGAAGTTTCTGAGAATGCTTCTGTGTAGTTTGTATGTGAAGATATACCGTTTACAATGAATTCCTCAAAGAGCTCCCAATATCCAAGAGCAGATTCTATGAAAGCAGTGTTTCAAAACTGCTCTATCAATGAAAGATTCAACTCTGAATTGAACACACACATCACAAATGATTTTCTGAGAATGCTTTCGTCTAGTTTTTATGTGATGATATTTCTTTTTCCACAATAGGAAACAATGTGCTCCAAGTGAACACTTGCAAATTCTACAAAAAGTGTGTTTCAGCACTGCTCTATCAAAAGAAATGTTCAATTTTGTAAGTTGAACGCACACATCACAAAGAAATTTCTGAGAATTCTTGGGTCTAATTTGTATGTGAAGATACCCGTTTCCAACGAATTCCTCAACCAGTTCCAAATATCCACAAGCAGATTCTACAAAAAGAGTGTTTCAATACTCCCCTATCAAAAGACAGATTCAAACCTGTTAGTTGAATGCACACATCTCAATGAAGTTCCTGAGAATGCTTCTGTCTAATTTTTATGAGAAGATACTTCCTTTTCCACCATAGACTTCAAAGCACTCCAAAGGAACACTTGCAGATCCTACAAAAAGACTGTTTCAAAAATGCTCTATCAAAAGAACGAGTCCACTCTGTGAGGTGAATGCACACAACCCAAAGTAGTTTCTGAGAATGTTTCTGTCTAGTTTTTATTTGAAGATATTTCCTTTTCCATCATAGGCCTCAAATCGCCCCAAATATCCACTTGGAGATAATACAAAAAGAATGTTTCAAAACTGCTCTCTCAAGAGGAAGGATCGACTCTGTGAATTAAAAACACACATCACAAAGGAATTTCTGAGAATGCTTCTGTCTAGTTTTTATGTGAAGATATTTATTTTTCCGCCATAGGCAAAAAAGCGATCCAAATGAACACTTCCAGATACTGCAAAAAGAGTGTTTCAACACTGCCCTATCAAAAGAAATGTTCAAGTCTGTGAGTTGAAAGCACAAATCACAAAGAACTTTGTGAGAATGCTTGGGTCTCCTTTTTTGTGAAGATACCCGTTTCCCGTGAATTCTCCAAAGAGTTCCAAATATCCACAAGCAGATTCTACAAAAGGAGTGTTTCAATACTGCTCTATCAAAAGACAGATTCAACTCAGTTAGTTGAATGCACACATCTCAATGAAGTTCCTGAGAATGCTTCTGTCTAATTTTTATGTGAAGATATTTCCTTTTCCACCATAGGCTTCAAAGCGTTCCAAATGAACACTTGCAGGTCCTACAAAAACACTGTTTCAAAACTGTTCTATCAAAAGAACGGTTCCACTCTGTGGGGTGAATGCACACATCAAAAAGCAGTTTCTGAGAATGCTTCTGCCTAGTTTTTATGTGAAGATATTTCCTTTTCCATCATAGGCCTCAAAGTGCTCCAAATATCCACTTGCAGATACTACAAAAAGACAGTTTTAAAACTGCTCTCTCAAAAGGTAGTTTCCTCTCTGTGAGTTGAATGCACATATCACAAAGCAGTTTCTGAGAATGCATCTGTCTAGTTTGTATGTGAAGATATCGCGTTTACAACGAATTCCTCAAAGAACTCAAAATATCCACAAGCAGATTCTATAAAAGCAGTGTTTCAAAACTGCTTTATCAAAAGAAAGGTTCAACTGTGTGAACTGAACACACACATCACAAAGGAGTTTCTGAGAACGCTTCTGTCTAGTTTTTATGTGAAGATTTTTTTTACAGCATTGGCAACAAAGCGCTCCAAATGAACACTTGCAGATACTACAAAAAGTGTGTTTCAACACTGCTCTATCAAAAGAAAGGTGCAAGTCTGTAAGTTGAGTGCACACATCACAAAGCAGTTTCTGAGAATGCTTCTGTCTACTTTGCATGTGAATTTACCCGTTTGCAACGAATTCTTCAAAGAGTTCCAAATATCCACAAGCAGATTCCACAAAAGGAGTGTTTCAGTACTGCTCTATCAAAAGACAGATTCACTTCTGTTAGTAGAATGCACACAACTCAATGAAGTTCCTGAAAATGCTTCTGTCTATTTTTTACGAGAAGATATTCCCTTTTCCACCATAGACTTCAAAGCGCTCCAAATGAACACTTGCAGGTCCTACAAAAAGAGTGTTTCAAAACTGCTGTATCTAAAGAACGGTTCCACACTGTGAGATGAATGCACACATCACAAAGCAGTTTCTGAGAATGCTTCTGTCTAGTTTTTATGTGAAGTTATTTCCTTTTCCATCATAGGCCTCAAATCGCTCCAAATATCCACTTGCAGATACTACAAAAAGAATGTTTCAACACTGCACTCTCAAAAGGAAGGTTCAAGTCTGTGAGGTGAATGCACACATCACAAAGCAGTTCCTGGGAATGCTTCTGTCTAGTTTGTATGGAAGATATTTTCTTTTCCATTATAGGCCTCATATCGCTCCAAATATCCACTTGCACATACTTCAAAAAGACTGTTTCAAAACTGCTCTCTCAAAAGAAAGGTTCAACGCTGTGAATTGAACACACACATCACAAAGGAGTTTCTGAGAATACTTCTGTGTAGTTTTTATGTGAAGATATTTCTTTTTCCACCAGAGGCAACAAAGCGCTCCAAATGAACAATTGCATATTCTACAAAAAGTGTGTTTCAACACTGCTCTGTCAAAAGAAAGGTTCAAGTCAATGAGTTGAATGCACACATCATGAAGAACATTCTGAGAATGCTTGGGACTACTTTTTATGTGAGTATACCTGTTTCCAAAAATTCCTCAAAGAGTTCCAAATATCCACAAGCATATTCTACAAAAGGAGTGTTTCAGTACCGCTCTATCAAAAGACAGATTCAGCTCTGTTAGTTGAATGCACACATCTCAATGAAGTTCCTGAGAATGCTTCTATCTAGTTTTTATGTGAAGATATTTCCTTTCCCAGTATAGGCTTCAAAGCGCTCCAAATTAACACTTGCAGATCCTACAAAAAGACTGTTTCATAACTGTTCTATCAAAAGAACGGTTCCACTCTGTGTGGTGAATGCACACATCACATAGAAGTTTCTGAGAATGCTTCCGTCTAGTTTTTATGTGAAGAAATTTCCTTTTCCATCATAGGCCTCAAATCGCTGCAAATATCCACTTGCAGATTCTACAAAAAGACTGTTTCAAAACTCCTCTCTCAAAAGGAAGATTTAATTCTGTGACTTGAATGCACACATCACAAAGCAGTTTCTGAGAATGCTTTTGTCTAGTTTGTATGTGAAGATATCTCGTTTACAACTAATTTCTCACAGTTCCAAATCTCCACAAGCACATTCCACAAAAGTAGTGTTTCAAAACTGCTCTATAAAAAGAAAGGTTTAACTCTGTGAATTGAACAGACACATCCAAAGAGTTTCTGAGAATGCTTCTGTCTAGTTTTTATGTGAAGATATTATTTTCAACCGTAGGCAACAAAGCACACGAAATGAAAATTTGCAGATTCCACAAAAAGTGTGTTTCATCACTGCTCTGTCAAAGAAAAGGTTCACGTCTGTTAGTTGAATGCACACATCAGAAATAAATTTCAGAGAATGCTTGGGTCTATATTTTATGTGAAGATACCGGTTTCCAATGAATTCCTCAAAGAGTTCCAAATATCCACAACCAGATACTACAAACGGAGTGTTTCAATACTGCTCTATCAAAAGACAGTTTCAACTCTGTCAGTTGAATGCACACATCTCAATGAAGTTCCTGAGAACGCTTCTGTCTAGTTTTTACGTGAAGATATTTCCGTTCTCATCTTTGGCTACAAAGCACTCCACATGAACACTTGCAGATCCTACAAAAAGACTGTTTCAAAACTGATCTATCAAAAGAACGGTTCCACTCTGTGAGGTGAATGCACACATCACAAAGCAGTTTCTGAGAATGATTCTGTCTAGTTTTTATGTGAAGATATTTCCTTTTCCATCACAGGCCTGAAATCGCTCCAAATATCCACTTGCAGCCACTACAAAAAGACTGTTTCAAAACTGCTCTCTCAAAAGGAAGCTTCAACACTGTGAGTTGAATGCACACATCACAAAGCAGTGTCTGAGAATGCTTCTGTCTCGTTGTATGTGAAGATATTTCCTTTTTCATCATAGGCCTCAAATCGCTCCTAATATCCACTTGCAGATACTACAAAAAGACTGTTTCAAAACTGCTCTCTCAAAAGGAAGGCTCAACTCTGTGAGTTGAATGCACACATCACAAAGTAGTTTCTGAGAATGCTTCTGTCTAGTTTGTATGTGAAGATATCCCGTTTACAACGAATTCCAGAAAGAGCTTCAATATCCACAAGCAGATGCTACAAAAACAGTGTTTCAAAACTGCTCTATCAAAAGAATGGTTCAACTCTGTGAATGGAACACACATATCAAAAAGGAGTCTCTGAGAATGCTTCTGTCTAGTTTTTATGTGAAGATGTTTCTTTTTCCAGAATAGGCAACAAAGCTCTCCAAATGAACACTTGCAGATTCCACAAGAAGGCTGTTTCAACACTGCTCTATCAAAAGAATTGTTCTAGACAATGAGTTGAATGCACACATCACAAAGAAGTTTCTGAGAATTCTTCTGTCTAGTTTGTATGTGAAGCTATCTC
Source organism: Homo sapiens (assembly GCF_000001405.40). NCBI lineage: Eukaryota > Metazoa > Chordata > Mammalia > Primates > Hominidae > Homo > Homo sapiens. The sequence continues at coordinate 17,133 of NT_187443.1, read as the reverse complement.
CTTGTCCATCTTAGGCCTCAAGTCGCTCCAATTATCCACTTGCAGATAATACAATCAGACTGTTTCAAAATTGATCTCTCAAAAAGAAGGTTCAACTCTGTGAGTTGAATGCACACGTCACAAAGCAGTTTCTGAGAATGCTTCTGTCTAGTTTGTATGTGAAGTTATCCCGTTTACAACGAATTCCTTAAAGAGCTCCAAATATCCACAAGCAGATCCTACAAAGGCAGTGTTTCAAAACTGCTCTATCTAAAGAAAGGTTAAACTCTGTGAATTGAACACACACATCACAAAGGGGTTTCTGCAAATGCTTCTATCTAGTTTTTATATGAAGATATTTCTTTTTCCACCACTGGCAACAAAGCGCTCCAAATGAACACATGCAGATTCTACAAAAAGTGCATTTCAACACTGCTCTATCAAAAGAAAGGTTCAAGTCTGTGAGATGATTGCAAACATAACAACCTCTTACTGAGAATGCTTGGGCGTACTTTTTATGTGAAGATACCAGTTTCCAAAGAATTCCTCAAAGAGTTCCAAATATCCACAAGCATATTCTACAAAAGGAGTGTTCCAATACTCTTCTATCAAAAGACAGATTCAACTCTGTTAGTTGAATGCACACATCTCAATGAAGTTCCTGAGAATGCTTCTGTCTAGATTTTACGTGAAGAAAATTCCTTTTCCACCATAGGCTTCAAAGCTCTCCAAATGAACACTTGCAGAACTTACAAAAAGACTGTTTCAAAACTGCTCTATCAAAAGAACGGTTCCACTCTGTGAGATGAATGCACACATCACAAAGCAGTTTCTGAGAATGCTTCTGTCTAGTTTTTATGTGAAGATATATCCTTTTCCATCATAGGCTTCAAATCACTCCAAATATCCACTTGCAGATACTACAAAAAGACTGTTTCAAAACTGCTCTCTCAAAAGGAAGTTTAAACTCTGTGAGTTGAAGCACACATCAAAAGCAGTTTCTGAGAATGCTTCTGTCTAGCTTGTATGTGAAGATAACTCGTTTACAACGAATTCCTTAAAGAGCTCCATATATCCACAAGCAGATACTACAAAAGCAGTGTTTCAAAACTGCTCTATCAAAAGAAAGGTTCAACTATGTGAATTGAACACACACATCACAAATAAGTTTCTGAGAATGCTTCTGTCTAGTTCTTTTTTTGTGTGTGTGTGTGAACATTTTTCTTTTTTTTTCTGTTATTAGACTTTAAGATTTAGGGTACATGTGCACATTGTGCAGGTTAGTTACATATGTATACATGTGCCATGCTGGTGCGCTGCACCCACTAACCCGTCATCTAGCATTAGACATATCTCCCTATGCTATCCCTCACCCCTCCCCCCCCACAACAGTCCCCAGAGTCTGTTATTCCCCTTCCTGTGTCCATGTGATCTCATTGTTCAATTCCCACCTGTGAGTGAGAATATGCGGTGTTTCTTTTTTTGTTCTTGCGATAGTTTACTGAGAATGATGATTTCCAATTTCATCCATGTCTCTACAAAGGACATGAACTCATCATTTTTTATGGCTGCATAGTATTCCATGTTGTATATGTGCCACGTTTTCTTAATCCAGTCTATCATTGTTGGACATTTGGGTTGGTTCCAAGTCTTTGCTATCGTGAATAGTGCCGCAATAAACATACGTGTGCATGTGTCTTTATAGCAGCATGATTTATAGTCTTTTGGGTATATACCCAGTAATGGGATGGCTGGGTCAAATGGGATTTCCAGTTCTAGATCCCTGAGGAATCGCCACACTGACTTCCACAATGGTTGAACTAGTTTACAGTCCTACCAACAGTGTAAAAGTGTTCCTCTTTCTCCACATCCTCTCCAGCAACTGTTGTTTCCTGATTTCTTAATGATTTCTCACAGCATTCTAACTGCTGTGAGATGGTATCTCATTGTGGTTTTGATAGGCATTTCTCTGATGGTGAGTGATGATGAGCATTTTTTCATGTGTTTTTTGGCTGCACAAATGTCTTCTTTGGAGAAGTGTCTGTTCATGTCCTTTGCCCACTTTTGAATGGGGCTGTTTGTTTTTTTCTTGTAAATTTGTTTGAGTTCATTGTAGATTCTGGATATTAGCCCTTTGTCAGATGTGTAAGTTTCTGTCTAGTTTTTATGTGGAGATATTTCGTTTTCCACCATAGGCAACAAGGCGCTCAAAGTGAACACTTGCAGATTCTACAAAAAGTGTGTTTCAACACTGCTCTATCAAAAGAAAGGTTCAAGTCAGTGAGTTGAATGTACACATCACAAAGCAGTTTCTGAGAATGCTCCTGTGTAGTTTCTATGTGAAGATATGTCCTTTTCCATCTTAGGCCTCTAATCCCTCCAAATATACACTTGCAGATCCTACAACAAGACTATCTCAAAACTGCTCTATCAAAAGAACGGTTCCAATCTGTGAGGTGAATGCACACATCACAAAGGTGTTTCTGAGAATGCTTCCGTCTACTTTTTATGTGAAGATATTTCCTTTTCCATCATAGGCCTCAAATCTCT
>NT_187443.1:0-4703 GCF_000001405.40 Homo sapiens | reverse complement strand
AATCGCTCCAAAATTCACTTGCAGATACTGCAAAATGACTGTTTCAAAACAGCTCTCTCAAAGGGAAGGTTCAACTCTGTGAGTTGAATGCCGACATCACAAAGCACTTTCTGAGAATGCTTCCATCTACTTTGTATGTGAAGATATTTCCTTTTCCATCATAGGCCTAAAATCACTGCAAGTATCCACTTGCAGTTACCGCGAAAAGAGTGTTTCAACACAGTTCTCTCAAAAGGAAAATTGAATTCTGTGAGTTGAACGCACACATCACAAAGCAGTTTCTGAGAATGCTTCTGTCTAGTTTGTATATGAAGATATTTCCTCTTCCATCTTAGGCCTCAAATCACTCCAAATATCCACTTGCAGATACTACAGAAAGACTGTTTCAAAACCTCTCTCTCAAAAGGAAAGTTCAACTGTGTGAGTTGAATGCACACATCACAAAGTATTTTCTGAGAATTCTTCTGTCTAGTTTGTATGTGAGGATATCCCGTATACAACGAATTCCTCAAAGAGCTCCAAATAACCACAAGCAGATCCTGCAAAAGCAGTGTTTCAAAACTGCTCTATCAAAAGAAAGTTTCAACTCTTTGAATTGGACACACAGATCACAAAGGCAAACAGATCTGAGAATGTCCTTTGAAAAGGACACACAGATCTGAGAATGCTTCTGTCTAGTATTTATGTGAAGATATTTCTTTATCCACCATAGGCAACAAATCGTTCCTAAGATCCACTTGCAGATACCACAAAAAGACTGTTTCAAAACTTCTCTCTCAAAAAGAAGGTTCAACTCTGTGATTTGAATGCACAAATCACAAAGCAGTTTCTGAGAATGCTTCTGTCTAGTTTGTATCGGAAGATATTTCTTTTTCCACCATAGGCAACAAAGTGCACCAAATGAACAATTGCAGATTCTACAAAAAGTGTGTTTCAACACTATTCTATCAAAAGAAACGTTCAGGTCTGTGAGTTCAATGCACACATCACAAAGAACTTTCGGAGAATGCATGGATCTACTTTTTATGTGAAGATACCCGTTTTCAACAAATTCCTCAAAGTCTTCCAAATACCCACAAGGAGATTCTACAAAAGGAGTGTTTTAATACTTCTCTGTCAAAAGACACTTTCAACTCTGTTAGTTGAATGCACACATCTCAATGAAGTTCCTGAGAATGCTTCTGTCTAGTTTTTATGTGAAGATATTTCCATTTCCACCACAGGCTTCAAAGCGCTCCAAATGAATACTTGCAGATCCTACAATAAGACTGCTTCAAAACTGCTCTATCAAAAGAACGGTTCCATTCCGTGAGGTGAATGCACACATCACAAAGCAGTTTCAGGGAATGCTTCTCTCTAGTTTTTATGTGAAGATATTTCCTTTTCCATCATAGGCCTCAAATCGCTACAAATATCCACTTGCAGATACTACAAAAAGACAGTTTCAAAACTGTTCTCTCAAAGGGAAGGTTCAACTCTGTGAGGTGAATGCCCACATCACAAAGCATTTTCTGAGAATGGCTCTGTCTACTTTGTATGTGAAGATACTTCCCTTTCCATCATAGACCACAAATCGCTCCAAATATCCACTTGCAGATACAACCAAAAGACAGTTTCAAAGCTGCCTTTTCAAAAGGAAGTTTCTACTCTGTGAGTTGAATGCACACATCACAAAGAAGTTTCTAAGAATGCTTCTGTCTAGTCTGTATGTGAAGATATCCCGTTTACAACGAATTCCTCAGAGAGTTCCAAATATCCACAAGCAGATTCTACAGAAGCAGTGTTTCAAAAGTGCTCAATCAAAAGAAAAGTTCAATTCTTTGAATTAAAAACACACATCACAAAGGAGTTTCTGAAAATGCTTCTGTCTAGTTTTTGCGTGGAGATATTTCTTTTTCCACCATTGACAACAAAGCGCTCCAAATGAACACTTGCAGATTCTCCAAATGTGTGTTCCATCACTGCTCTATCAAAAGAAATGTTCAATACCGTGAGTTGAATGCACACAACAGAAACCTGTTTCTGAAAATGTTTCTGTCTAGTTTGTATGTGAAAGTATATCCTTTTCCATCCTAGGCCTCAAATGACTACAAATATCCACTTGCAGATACTACAAAAATATTGTTTCAAAATGGCTATCTCAAAAGGAAGGTACAACTCGGTTAGTTGAATGCACACATCACAAAGCAGTTTCTGAGAATGCTTTTGTCTAATTAGTGTGAGAAGATATCCCGCTTACAACGAATTCCTAAAAGAGCTCCAAATATCCACAAGCAGATTCTACGAAATGAGTTTTTCAATACTGCTCTATCAAAAGACAGATTCAACTCCGTTGGTTGAATGCACACATCTCATTGAAGTTCCTGAGAATGCTTCTGTCTAATTTTTATGTGAAGATATTTACTTTTCCAACATAGGCTTCAAAGCGCTCCAAATCAGCACTTGCAGATCCTACAAAAAGACTGTTTTAAAACTGCTCTATCAAAAGAATGGTTCTACTCTGTGACCTGAGTGCACACATCACAAAGCAGTTTGTGAGAATGCTTCTGTCTATTTTGTATGGGAAGATATTTCCTTTTCAACATAGGACTCAAATCGCTCCAAATATACACTTGCAGATCCTACAAAAAGACTGTCTCAAAACTCCTCTCTCAAAAGGAAGGTTCAATTCTGTGTGTTGAATGCACACAACACAAAGCAGTTTCTCAGACTGCTTCTGTCTAGTTTTTGCGTGAAGATATTTCTGTTTCCAGCATAGGCAACAAACCTCTCCAAATGAACACTTGCAGATTCTACAAAAAGTGTGTTTCCTCACTGCTCTATCAAAAGAAAGGTTCAAGACCGTGAGTTGAATGCGCACATTACAAACCAGTTTCTGACAATGCTTCTGTCTATTTTTTATGTGAAGATATTTCCTTTTCCATCATAGGCCTCAAATCGCTCCAAATATCCACTTGCAGATTCTACAAAAAGACTGTTCCAAAACTGCTCTCTCAGAAGGAAGGTTCAACTCCGTGTGTTGAATGCACACATCACAAAGCAGTTTCTGAGAATGCTTCTGGCTAGTTTGTGTGTGAAGATATCCCATTGACAGCGAATTCCTCAAAGAGCTCCAAATATCCACAAGCAGATTCTAGAAAAGCAGTGTTTCAAAACTGCTCAATCAAAAGAAAGGTTCAACTCTGTGAATTGAACACACATATCACAAAGGAGTTTCGGAGAACGCTTCTTTTTAGTGTTTATGTGAAGATATTTCTTTTTCCACCATAGGCATCAAAGCGCTCCAAATGAACTCTTGCAGATTCTACAAATGTGTGTATCAACACTGCACCGTCTAAAGAAATGTTCAAGTCTCTGAGTTGAATGCACCCATCACAAAGCAGTTTCTGAGAATGCTTCTATCTAGTTTGTATGTGAAGATATTCCCGTTTCCACCTTAAGCCTCACATCGCTCCATATATCCACTTGAGGATACTACAAAAAACTGTTTCAAAACTGCTCTCTCAAAAGGAAGGTTCAATTCTGTGAGCTGAATGCACACATCACAAAGCAGTTAATGAGATTACTTCTGTCTAGTTTGTAAGTGAGGATATTTCCTTTTCAATCTTAGACTTCCCATCGCTCCAAATATCCACTTGCAGATACTTCAAAGAGACTGTTTAAAAACTGCTCTCTCAGAAGGAAGGTTCAACTCTGTGAGTTGAATGCACACACCACAAAGCAGTTACTGAGAATGCTTCTGTCTAGTTTGTATGTGAAGATATCCCGTTTACAACGAATTCCTCAAAGAGCTCCAAATATCCACAAGCAGATTCTACAAAAGGAGTGTTTCAATTCTGCTCTATCAAAAGGCAGATTCAACTCAGTTACTTGAATGCACACATCTCAGTGAAGTTCCTGAGCATGCCTCTGTCTAGTTTTTTGTGAAGATATTTCCTTTTCCGCCAAACGCTTAAAAGCGCTCTAAAATGAACACTCGCAGATCCTACAAAAAGACTGTTTCAGAACTGCTCTATCAAAAGGACGGTTCCACTCTGTGAGGTGAATGCACACATCACAAAGTAGATTCTGAGAAAGCTACTGTCAAGTTTGGCTGTGAAGATATTTCCTCTTCAATCTTAGTCCTCCCATTGCTCCAAGTTTCCACTTGTAGAGAATACAAAAAGATTGTTTCAAAACTGCTCTCTCAAAAGGAAGGTTCATCTCTCTGAGTAGAATGCACACATCACAAACCAGTTTCTGAGAATGCTTCTGACTAGTTTGAATGTGAAGATATCCTGTTTAAAACGAATTCCTCAAACAGCTCCAAATATCTACAAGAAGATTCTACAAAAGCAGTGTTTCAAAACTGCTTTATCTAAAGAAAGGTTCAACCCTGTGAATTGAACAACTACATCACAAAGTATTTTCTGAGAAAGTTTCTGTCTAGTTTTCAGGTGAAGATATTTCTTTTTCCACCATGGGCAAGAAAGCACTCCAAATGAACACTTGCAGATTCTACAAAAAGTGTGTTTGAACCCTGCTGTATCAAAAGAAAGTTTCAAGCCTGTGAGTTGAATCCCCACATCACAAAGCAGTTTCTGAGAATGCTTCTGCCTAGTTTTTAGGTGAAGATATATCCTTTTCCATCTTAGGCCTCAAATCTCTCCAAACATCCACTTGCAGATACTTCAAAAAGACTGTTTCAAAACTGCTCTCAAAAG
>NT_187442.1:0-993 GCF_000001405.40 Homo sapiens | reverse complement strand
AGGGCTGACCCCCCACCTCCCTCCCGGACGGGGCGGCTGGCCGGGCAGCGGGGCGCCTCACTTCCTAGTAGGGGCGGCCAGGCAGAGGCGCCCCTCACCTCCCGCATGGGGCGGCTGGCCGGGCGGGGGGCTGACCCCCCCACCTCCCTCCCAGACAGGGCGGCTGGCCGGGCGGGGGGCTGACCCCCCCACCTCCCTCCCGGAGGGGGCGGCTGGCCGGGCAGAGGGGTTCCTCACTTCCCAGTAGGGGCGGCCGGGCAGAGGCGCCCCTCACCCCCCGGACGGGGTGGCTGGCCGGGCGGGGGGCTGACCCCCCACCTCCCTCCCGGATGGGGCGGCTGGCCGGGCGGGGGGCTGAGCCCCCTACCTCCCTCCCGGACGGGGTGGCTGGCCCGGCAGAGGGGCTCCTCACTTCCCAGTAGGGGCGGCTGGGCAGAGGCGCCCCTCACCTCCCGGACGGGGCGGCTGGCCGGGCGGGGGGCTGACCCCACCTCCCTCCCGGACGGGGCGGCTGGCCTGGCAGGGGGCTGACCCCCCCACACCTCCCTCCCGGACGTGGGGCTGACCCCCCCACCTCCCTCCCAGACGGGGCGTCTGGCCGGGCGGGGGGGCTGACCCCTCCACCTCCCTCCCGGACGGGGCGGCTGGCCGGACAGAGGAGTTCCTCACTTCCCAGTAGGGGCGGCCGGGCAGAGGCGCCCCTCACTCCCCGGACGGGGTGGCTGGCCGGGCGGGGGGCTGGCCCCCCCACCTCCCTCCCGGACGGGGCGGCTGGCCGGGCGGGGGGCTGAGCCCCCCACCTCCCTCCCGGACGGGGTGGCTGGCCCGGCAGAGGAGCTCCTCACTTCCCAGTAGGGGTGGCTGGGCAGAGACGCCCCTCCCTTCCCGGACGGGGCGGCTGGCCGGGCGGGGGTCTGACCCCACCTCCCTCCCGGACGGGGCGGCTGGCCTGGTGGGGGGCTGACACCCCCACCTCCCTCCCGGACGTGGGGC
>NT_187441.1:0-2168 GCF_000001405.40 Homo sapiens | reverse complement strand
TTTCCTTTTCTGCCTTTGACCTCAAGGCGCTTGATGTCTCCACTTGCAAATTGCACAAAAAGATGTTTCGAATCTGCTCTGTCTAAAGGAAGGTTCAACTCTGTCAGTTGAATACCCACAACACAAGGAAGTTACTGAGATTTCTTCTGTCTAGCCTGACATGAAAAAAACCCGTTTCCAACGAAGGCCTCAAAGAGGTCAAAATATCCACTTGCAGACTTTACAAACAGAGTGTTTCCAAACTGCTGAATGAAAAGTTAAACTCTGTGAGTTGAACGCACACATCACAGAGCAGTTTTGAGAATGATTCTGTCTAGTTTTTATAGGAAAATATTTCCTTTTCTGCCTTTGGCCTCAAAGCGCTTGAAATCTCCACTTGCAAATTCCACAAAAAGATTGTTTCAAATCTGCTCTGTCTAAAGGAAGGTTCAACTCTGTCAGTTGAATACACACAACACAAAGAAGTTACTAAGAATTCTTCCCTCTAGCATTATATGGAGAAATCCCGTTTCCAACGAACGCATCTAAGAGGTCCAGATATCCACTTGCAGACTTTACAAACAGAGTGTTTCCAGAATGTTGTATGAAAAGAAAGGTTGAACTCAGTGAGTTGAACACACACATCACAAAGGAGTTTCTGAGAATCATTCTGTCTAGTTTTTATACGAAGATATTTCCTTTTCTACCATTGACCTCAAGGTGGCTGAAATCTCCACTTGCAAATTCCACAAAAAGAGTGTTTCAGATCTGCTCTGTGTGAAAGATGGTTCAACTCTGTGAGTTGAATACACACAACACAAGGAAGTTACTGAGAATTCTTCTGTCTAGTATTATAGGACGAAATCCTGTTTCCAACGAAGTCCTCAAAGAGGTCAGAATATCCACTTGCAGACTTGACAAACAGAGCGCTTACAAACGGCTCTATGAAAAGAAAGGTTAAACTCTGTGAGTTGAACGCACACATCACAATGCAGTTTGTGGGAATGATACTGTCTAGTTTTGAAACGAAGTTATTTCCTTTTCTGCCATTGACCTCAAAGCGCTTGAAATCTCCACTTGCAAATTGCACAAAAAGAGTGTTTCAAATCTGCTCTGTCTAAAGGAACGTTCAACTCTGTGAGTTGAATGCACACAACACAAAGAAGTTACTGGGAATTCTTCTGTCTAGCCTTACATGAAAAAAAACCGTTTCCAACGAAGGCCTCAAAGTGGTCAATATATCCACTTGCAGACTATACAAACAGAGTGCTTCCAAACTGCTGAATGAAAAGAAAAGTTAAACTCTGTGAGTTGAACGCACACATCACAGAGCAGTTTCTGAGAATGATTATGTCAAGTTTTTATACGAAGATAATGCCTTTTCTGCCTTTGGCCTGAAAGCGCTTGAAGTCTCCTCTTGGAAATTCCAGATAAAGAGTGTTTCGAATCTGCTCTGTCTAAAGGAAGGTTCAACTGTGTCAGTTGAATACACATAACACAAAGAAGTTACTAAGAATTCTTCCCTCTAGAATTATATTAAGAAATTCCGTTTCCAAAGAAGGCATCTAAGAGCTCCAAATATCCACTTGTAGACTTTCCAAACAGAGAGTTTCCAGAATGCTGTATGAAAAGAAAGGTTAATCTCTGTGAGTTAAACACATACATCACTACGCAGTTTCTGGGAATGATTTTGTCTTGTTTTTATACGAAGATATTTCCTTTTCTACCATTGGCATCGAAGCGCTTGAAATCTCCACTTGCAAATTCCACAAAAAGAGTGTTTCAAATCTGCTCTGTCTAAAGGAAGGTTGAACTCTGTGAGTTGCATACAGACAACACAAAGTAGTTACTGAGAAATCTTCTGTCTAGCATAATATGAAGAAATCCCATTTCCAACGAAGGCCTCAAAAAGGTCCGAATATCCACTGGCAGACTTCACAAACAGAGTGTTTCCTAACTGCTCTATGAAAAGAAAGGTTAAACTCTGTGAGTTGAACGCACACATCACAAAGGAGTTTCTGAGAATCATTCTGTCTAGTTTTTATACGAAGATATTTCCTTTTCTACCATTGACCTCAAAGCGGCTGAAATCTCCACTTGCAAATTCCAGAAAAAGAGTGTTTCAAATCTGCTCTGTGTAAAGGATCGTTCAACTCTGTGAGTTGAATACACACAACACAAGGAAGTTA
>NT_187440.1:0-2983 GCF_000001405.40 Homo sapiens | reverse complement strand
GGTTTCATCCAATGGAATCGAATGGAATCATCTTTGAGTGGAATCTAAAGGATTCACTAAGTGGACTCCAATGGAATAATCATCAAATGGAATCAAATGGAATTATCGAATGTACTCAAATGGTATCATCGAATGGAATCAAATGGAGTCATCAAATGGATTTGAATGGTATAGTCATCGAATGGAATAACGTGGAATGATCAAAAGGACTCAAATGGAATCATGAACGGATTTGAATGGAATCATCAAATACACTCGAATGGAATCATCATCAAATGGAAATGAATGGAATCATCAAATGGAAATGAATGGAATCATTGTCAAATGGAATCATACGGAATCATCAAATGGACTCGAATGCAATCATTGAATGGACTCGAATGGATTCGTCATCGAATGGAATTGAATAGAATCATCGAATGGACTCGAATGGAGTGATCAAAAGGACTTGAAAGGAATTATCAAATGGACTCGAATGGAAGCATCGAATGGACCCTAACGGAATCATCATCAAATGGAAAAGAATGGAATAGTCAGATGGACTTGAATGGAATCATCGAATGGACTCGAATGGAATCATCGAATGGAGTCTAAAGGAATCACCATTGAAATGAATCGAAAGGAATCATCAAATAAAATCGAATGTAATCGTCTAATGGAATCTAACGGAATAATCTTCTAATGGAATCAAAAGGAATCACTGAATGGGATCGATAGCAATAATCATCGAATGGAATCAAATGGAATCATCATCGAATGGAAAGGAATAGAATCACCAAATGCACTCAAATATAATCATCATCGAAGGGAATCGAATGGAATCATCAATTGGAATCGAATGGAGTCATCATCAAATGAAATTGAATGGAGTTATCAAATGTCATTGAATTGAATCATCACCAAATTGAGTTGGATGGAATCATCGAATGGACTCGAATGGAATCATCATTGAATGGAATCGAATGGATTCATCAAATGGACTCGAATGGAATTGTCATTGAATGGAATTGAATGGAATCATCAAATCGACTCAAATGGAGTCATCATCAAATGTAATTGAATGGAATCATCAAATGAACACGAGTGGAATCATCATCAAATGAAATCGAATGGAATCATCGAATGGACATGAATAGAATCATCATCGAATGGAATCAAATGGAATGATCAATTGGAGTCCAATGGAATCATCGAATGGACTCGAATGGAATCATCATCAAAACGAATCAAAAGAAATCATCATCAGATGGAATCAAATGGAAACCTCACTGAATGGAATCGAATGGAATCATCGAAGGGAAAGTGATGGAATCATCATCGAATGAAATCAAATAGAAGTATTGAATGAAATCAAATTGAAACATAGTCAAACGGAATCGAATGGAAACATCATCGAATGGACTCAAAAGGAAACATCGTGGAATGGAATCGAGTGGAATCATCATCGAATGGAATTGAATGGCAACATCATTGAATTGAATCAAATGGAATCATCATGGAATTGAATCAAATGGCTCATTGTCAAATGGAATCAAATGGAATCGTCAAATGGAATCATCGAATGGAATCAAATGGATTAATCATCCAATGGAATCGAATGGAACCATCGACAAATCAAATGGAATCATCTTCAAATGGAGTCGAATGGAATTATCATCAAATGGAATCTAATGGAATCATCAAAAATGGGAATTGAAAGGAATCATCATAGAATGGAATCGAATGGAATCATCAACGAATGGAATTGAATGGAATCATCAACGAATGGAATCGAATGGAATCATCATAGAAAGGAATCACAAGAAATCATTGAAAGGAATCGAACGGGATCATTAAATGGAATCAAATGGAATCATCCTTGAATGGAATAAAATGGAGTCATCAAATGGACACGACTGTAATAATTAAATGGACTCGAGTGGAATCATAGAATGGAACCGAATGGAATCATCGATTGGACTCGAATGGAATCATCATCAAATGGAATCGGATGGAATCAACGAAGGGAGTTGAATGGAATAATCGAATGGATTTGAATGGAATCAGCATCAAATGGAATCAAATAGAATCATTCAATGGACTCGAGTGGAATCATCATAGAATGGAATCAAATGAAATCATCATCAGATGGAATCGAATGGAATCATCAACGAATGGAATCATCATAGAAAGAAATCATAAGGAATCATTGAAAGGAATCAAACGAGATCATCAAATGGAATCAAATGGAATCATCATTGAATGGAATCAAATAGAGTCATCAAATGGACACGAATGTAATAATTAAATGGACTCGAATGGAATCATGGAATGGAACTGAATGGAATCATCGATTGGACCTGAATGGAATCATCATCAAATGGAATCGGATGGAATCAATGAAGGGAGTTGAATGGAATAATCGAATGGATTTGAATGGAATCAGCATCGAATGGAATCAAATAGAATCATTCAATGGACTCTAGTGGAATCATCATAGAATGGAATCAAATGAAATCATCTTCAGATGGAATCGAATGGAATCATCACTGAACAGAATCGAATGGAATCATCGAATGGACTCGAATGGAATAATTGAATGGACTGGAGTGGAATCATATAATGGAATCAAACGGAATCATCTAACGGACTTGAATGGAATCATCGAATGGACTCGAATGGAATCATCATCAAATGGAATCAAATGGAATTATCAAATGGAATTGAATGGAATCATCATCGAATGAAATCGAATAGAAGCATCGAATGGAATCGAATGGAATCATAGAATGGAATCAGACGGAATCATCATTGAATGGAATCGAATAGAAGCATTGAATGAAATCAAATAGAATCATCATCAAACGGACTCATATGGAATCATCATCGAATGGACTCAAAGGGAATCATCGTTGAATGGATTCCAATGGAATCATCATCGAATGGAATCGAATGGAAACATCATCTAATTGAATCAAATAGAATCATCATGGAACTGAATCGA
>NT_187439.1:0-1899 GCF_000001405.40 Homo sapiens | reverse complement strand
CAGAGTTCATATTCCATTTCATAGAGCAGGTTGGAAACCCTCTTTTTATAGTATCTGGAAGTGGACCTTTGGAGCGATTGAGGCCTGTGGTGAAAAACAAAAATTCTTCCCATAAAAACTAGACTGAAGCACTCTCAGAAACTTGTTCCTGATGTGTGTACTCAACTAACAGAGTTGAACCTTTCTTTTGATAGAGCAGTTTTGAAACACGCTTTTTGTGGAATCTGCAAGTGGATACTTGGATGGCTTGGAGGATTTCGTTGGAAACGGGAATATCTCTCTATAAAAAGAAGAAGCATGCTCAGAAACTTCTTTATGAGGTTGGCATTCAAGTCACAGATTTGAACATTCCCTTTCACAGAGCAGGTTTGAAACATTCTTTTTTTAGTATCCGGAAGTGTACATTTGGAGCGCTTTGAGTCCTATGGTGAAGAAGGAAATATCTTCCCATAAAATGTAGACAGAAGGATTCTCAGAAACTTGTTTGGGATGTGTGTACTCAACTAACAGTGTTGAACCTTTCTTTTGATAGAGCAGCTTTCAAACACACTTTTTGTAAAATCTGCAAGTGGATATTTGGATAGCTTTGAGGATTTCGTTGGAAACGGGATTATCTTCAGATAAAAAGGAGACGGAAGCCTTCTGGGAAACGACTTTGTGATGTTTCCATTCAAGTTTCAGAGTTGAACATTCCCATTCATAGAACAGGTTTGAAACACTCTTTTTGTAGTATCTGGATGTGGACATTTGGAGCGCTTTGAGGCCCACGGTGGAATTGGAATTCTCTTCCCTTAAAAACTAGACAGAAGCATTCTCAGAAACTTGTTTGTCATGTGTCTACTCAACTAACAGAGTTGAACCTTTCGTTTGATAGAGCAGATCGGGAACACTCTGTTTGTAGAATCTGCAAGTGGATATTTGGATAGCTTTGAGGATTTCAGAGGAAACGGGAATATCTTTATATGAAAAGTAGACAGAAGCATTTTCAGAAACTTCTTTGTGATGTATGCATTGAAGTCCCAGGGTTGAACATTCCCTTCCATGGAGCAGGTTTGAAACACTCTTTTGCTGTGTATGGAAGTGGAAATTTGGAGCGCTGTGAGGCCTACGGTGAAAAAGGAAACATTCTCCCCTAAAAACTAGACAGAAGCATTCTCAGAAACTTGTTTGTCATGTGTGTACTCAACTAACAGTGTTGAAGCTTTCTTTTAATAGAGCAGTTTTCAATCTCTCTTTTAGAAGAATCTGCAAGTGGATATTTGGATAGATTTGAGGATTTCCTTGGAAACGGGAATAGCTTCATATAAAATCTAGACAGAAGTATTCTCAGAAACTACTTGGTGATGTTTGCATTCAGGTCACAGAGTTCAATATTCCATTTCATATAGCAGGTTGGAAACCCTCTTTTTATAGTATCTGGAAGTGGACCTTTGGAGCGATTGAGGCCTATGGTGAAAAACAAAAATTCTTCCCATAAAAACTAGACTGAAGCACTCTCAGAAACTTGTTCCTGATGTGTGTACGAAACTAACAGAGGTGAACCTTCCTTATGGTAGACCTGTTTTGAAACACGCTTTTTGTGGAATCTGCAAGTGTATAATTGGATGGCTTTGAGGATTTCTTTGGAAACGGGAATATCTCTCTATAAAAAGAAGAAGCATCCTCAGAAGCTTCTTTATGAGGTTTGCATTCAAGTCACAGTGTTGAACATGACCTTTCACAGAGCAGGTTTGAAACATTCTTTTTATAGTATCCGGAAGTGTACATTTGGAGCGCTTTGAGTCCTATGGTGAAAAAGGAAATATCTTCCCATAAAATGTAGACAGAAGGATTCTCAGAAACTTGTTTGGGATGTGTGTTCTCACCTAACAGTGTTGAACCTTTCTTTTGATAGAGCAG
>NT_187438.1:0-3253 GCF_000001405.40 Homo sapiens | reverse complement strand
AAAAAATATCTTCACATAAAAACTACATAGAAGCATTCTGACGAACTTTTTTGTGTTGTTTGCATTCAACTCACAGTGTTGAACTAGTCTCTTGATAGAGCAGTTTAGAAACACATTTTTTGTAGAATCTGCAAGTGGATGTTTGGAGTGCTTTGAGTCCTGTTGTGGAAAAGGCAATATCTTCACATAAAAACTACACAGTAGCATTCTGAGAAACTTCTTTGTAATGTGTGCATTCAACTGACAGAGTTGCAGCTGTCTTTTGGTGGAGCAGTTTTGAAACTCCCTTTTTGTAGGATCTG
The DNA here is from genome assembly GCF_000001405.40 of Homo sapiens. Classification (NCBI taxonomy): domain Eukaryota; kingdom Metazoa; phylum Chordata; class Mammalia; order Primates; family Hominidae; genus Homo; species Homo sapiens. The sequence goes on along the minus strand of NT_187438.1, from coordinate 2,951 downwards.
CAAGTGGATATCTGGATCCCTTTACAACCTTCTGTGGAAAAATAAATATCTTCACATAAAAGCTACTCAGAAGCATTCTGAGAAACTTCTTATTGATGTGTGCTTTCATCTCAGAGAGTTGAATATTTCTTTTGATGAGCAGTTTGGAATCACAGTTTTTGTAGAATCTGCAAGTAGATATTTGGAGCGCTTTGTGTCCTATGGTGGAAAAGGAAATATCTTCAGATAAAAACTAAACAGAAGCATTCAGAGAAATTTCTTTGTCATGTGTGCATTCATCTCACAGAGTTGAAACTTTCTTTTGATTGAGCAGTTTTGAAACAATCTTTATGTACAATCTGCAAGTGGATACTTGGAGAGCTTTGAGGCCTATGGTGGAAAAGAAAATATCTTTTCTAAAAACTACACAGAAACTTTCAGAGAAACTTCTTTGTGATGTGTGCATTCATCTAAAGTGTTGAAGGTTTCCTTTGATTGAGCAGTTTTGAAACACTCTTTTTGTAGAATGTGCAAGTGGATATTTGGAGCGATTTGGAGCCTATTGTGGAAATTGAAATATCTTCCCATAAATCTACACAGAAGCATTCTGAGAAACTTCTTTTTGATGTGTGCATTCAACTCAGAGTTGAAACTATCTTTTGATTGAGCAGTTTAGAATCTTTATGTAGAATCTGCAAGTGGATATTTGGAGCCCTATGAGCCCTATGGTGGAAAAGGAAATATCTTCAAATACAAAATACACAGAAGCATTCAGAGAAACTTCTTTGTGATGAGTGCCTTCATCACACAGACTTGAACCTTTCTTTGGATTGAGTAGTTTTGAAAGACTCTTTTCGTAGAATCTGCAAGTGAATATTTGGAGGGCTTTGAGGCTTATTTTGGAGAAGGAGATATTTTCATATAAAAACTACACAGAAGCATTCTGAGAAACATCTTTGTGATGTGTGCATTCAAGTCACGGAGGTGAACCTATCTTTTGATGGAGCAGTTTTGAATCTCTCTTCTTGTAGATTCTGAAAGTAGATATTTGGAGCACTTTGAGGTCTACTGTGGAAAATCAAATATCTTCACATAAGAACTACACAAAAGGATTCTGAAAAACTATTTTGTGATGTGTGCATTCAACTCACAGAGTTGAACTTATCTTTTGAATGAGGAGATTTGAAACTCTCCTTTTGCAGAATCTGCAAGTGGACATTTGAAGCCCTTTGAGGCTTACTATAAAAAAGCAAGTATCTTCACATAAGAATTAAACAGAAGCATTCTGAGAAACTACTTTGTGATGTGTGCATTCAACTCACAGAGTTGAACCTATCTTTTGATTGAGCAGTTTAAAATATTTTTTTTTGTAGAATCAGCAAGTGGATATTTGGAGCCCTTTGCTACCTTTGGTGGAAAAGGAAATACCTTCAAATAAAAACTACATAGAAGCATTCTGAAAAATTTCTTGGTGATGTGTGCATTCTTCTCACAGGGTTGAACCTATCTAATGACTGAGCAGTCTTGAAACACTCATTTTGTAGAAACTGCAAGTGGATATTTGGTGCGCTTTGAGGGCTTCGTGGAAAAGCAAATATCTTCACATAAAAACTACACAGAAGCATTCTGAGAAACTTCTGCGTGATGTGTGCATTCATCTCACAGTGTTGGACGTTTCTTTTGATTGAGCAGTTTTGAAACACTCTTTTTGTAGAATCTGCAAGTGGATATTTGGAGCGCTTTGAGGCCTAATGTGGAAAATCAAATATCTTCACATAAAAACTACACAGAGGCATTCTGAGAAACTTCTTTGTTTTGTGTGCATTCAACTCACATAGTTGAAGTTATCTTTTGATTGAGATGCTTTGAATCTCCTTTTTGCAAAATCTGCACGTGGATATTTGGAGCCCTATTTCACCCTATAGTGGAAAAGCAGATATCTTCACATAAACAAACACTACACAGAAGCATTCAGAGAAAGTTCTTTGTGATGTGTGCATTGAACATGCAGAATTGAAACTATCTTTTCATTGTACAGTTTTGAATATCTCTTTTTGTAGAATCTGCAAGTGGAAGTTTGGAGCTCTTTGCACCCTGTGGTGTAGAAGTAAATATGTTCATATAAAAACTACACAGAAGCATTCAGAGAGACTTCTTTGTGATGAATGCATTCCTCACACAGAGTTTAATCTTTCTTTTTATTGAGTACTATTGAAATCTTCTTTTTGCAGAATCATCAAGTGGATATTTGGAGAGCTTTGAGGCCTGTTTTGGAAAAGGAAATATCTTCAAATTAAAACTACACAGAAGCATTCTGAGAAACTTCTGTGGGATGTGTGCATTCAGCTCTCAGAGTTGAACCTATCTTATGATTGAGCAGTTTGGAAACACTCTTTTTGTAGAATCTGCAAGTGGATACTTAGAGCGATTTGAGGTCTACTGTGGAAAAGGAAATATCTTCACATAAAAACAACACAGAAGCACTCTGAGAAACTTCTTTGTGATGTGTGAATTCAACTCACAGAGCTGAACCTATCTTTTGATGGAGTAGTTTAGAATCTCTCTTTTTTTAGAATCTGCAAGTGGATATTTGGAGTGCTTTGAGACCTACTGTGGAAAAGCAAATATCTTCACATAAAAACTAGACAGAAGCATTCTGAGATACATCTTTGTGATGTGTGCATTCATCTCATAGTGTTAAACCTTTCTTTTGATGGTTCAGTTTTGAAACACTCTTTTTGTAGAATCTGGAAGTGGATATTGGGAGCCCTTTGAGGCCTATGGTGGAAAAGGAAATATCTTCAAATAAAAACTACACAGAAGCATTCTGAGAAACTTCTTTGTGATGTGTACATTCATCTCACAGAGTTGAAACTTTCTTTTGATTGAGCAGTTTTGAAACACCACTTTTGTAGAATCTGGAAGTTGATATTTGCAGGGCTTTGAGGTCTATTTTGGAAAAGAAAATATCT
>NT_187437.1:0-5353 GCF_000001405.40 Homo sapiens | reverse complement strand
GAGTATTTCCAAACTGCTCAATCAAAAGAAAGACTCAACTCTGTGAGATGAACTCACACATCACAAAGAAGTTTCTTAGAATTCTTCTGTTTAGTTTTTATGTGATGGTATTTCCTTTTCCAACATAGGATTCAGAGTGCTCCAAACGTCCACCTGCAGATTCTACAAAAAGAGAGTTTCTAAAGTGCTCAATCAAAAGAAAGGTTTAACTCTGTGAGATGAATGCACACATTACAAAGAAGTTTCTCAGATTGTTTCGGTCTAGATTTTATGTGAAAATATTTCCTTTTCTATCATAGGCCACAAAGCACTCCAAATGTCCACTTGCCGATTCTACATAAAGAGTGTTTCCAAACTGCTGAATCAAAAGAAAGGTTCAATTCTGTGAGATGAATGCACACATCAAAAAGCAGTTTCTCAGAATTCTTCTTTCTAGCTTTTATGTGAAGATATTTCCTTTTTAAACATAGGCCTCAAGGCGCCCGAAATGTCCACTTGCACATTCTATAAAAAGAGTATTTCAAAACTGGTCCTTTGAAAGAATGTTTCAGCTCTGGGAGATGAATACACATATCACAAAGAAGTTTGTCAGAATGCTTCTATCAAGTTTTTATGTAAGGCCTCTTTTCCAACAGAGGCCTTAAAGCCCTCCAAATATCCACTTGCAGATTGTACGAAAAGAGAGTTTCAGAACTCCTCAATCAAAAGAAAGGTTTAATTCTCTGAGGTGAATGCACAAATCACAAAGAAGTTTCTCTGATTGCTTATGTCTAGATTTGATTTGAAGGTAGTCCTTTTACTACCATAGGTGGCAAAGAGCTCCAAATGTCCACTTGCAGATTCTACAAAAAGAGGGTTTCCAAACTTCTCAATCTAAAGAATGGTTCAGCTCTGTGGGATGAACACACACATCACATAGAAGTCGCTCAGAATACTTCTTTTTAGTTTTGTTGTGAAGATATTTCATTTTCCACAATAGGCCTCAAGGCACTCCAAATGACCAATTGCAAGTTATACAGAAAGATTATTACAAAACTGGTCCATCAATAGAAATGTTCAACTCTGGGAAATGAATACACACATCACCAAGAGGTTGTTCAGAATGCTTCTATCTAGTTTTTATGTGAATATATTTTCCTTTGCACCATAAGCCTCGAGGAGCTCCAAATGTCCACATGCAGATTTTATAAAAAGAGAGTTTTAAAACTGCTCAATCAAAAGAAATGTTTAACTCTGTGAGATGAATGCACACAACAAAAAAAGCTTCCTCAGATTGTTTCTGTCTAGATTTTATGTGAAGATAATTCCTTTTCTACCATAGGCCTCAAAGCGCTCCATATGTTCACTTGCAGATTCTACAAAAAGAGTGTTTCCCGTCTGCTCAATCAAAAGAAAGGTTCAACTCTGTCAGATGAACGCTGGCATCACAAAGAATTTTCTCAGAATTCTTCTGTCTACTTTTTATGTGAAGATATTTCCTTTTCTTCCATAGGCCTAAAAGCACTCCAAATGTCAACTTGCAGATTCTACAAAAAGAGAATTTCGAAACTGCTCAATGAAAGGAAAAGTTTCACTCTGTGACAAGAATGCACACATCAAAAAGAATATTCTCAGACTACTTCTGTCTAGATTTTATGCGAAGATATTTCCTTTTCTACCATAGACCGCATAGCTCTCCAAATGTGCACGTGCAGATTCTACAAAAAGAGTGTTTCCAAACTGCTCAATCAAAAGAAAGGTTTAACTCTGTGAGATGAATGCACACATCACAAAGAAGTTTCTCAGAATTCTTCTATCTAGTTTTTAAGTGATGATATTTCCTTTTGCACCATGGGCCTCAAAGCGCTCCAATTGTCCACTTGAAGATTCTACAAAAAGAGAGTTTCAAAACTGAGCAATCAAAAGAAAGGTGTAACTCTGTGATGAATGTACACATCACAAGTAAGTTTCTCACATTGCTTCTGTCTAGATTGTATGTGAAGTTATTTACTTTTCTACCATAGGACACAAAGTGCTCTAATTGTCCACCTGTAGATTCTACAAAAAGAGTATTTCCAAACTGCTCAATCAAAAGAAAGACTCAACTCTGTGAGATGAACTCACACATCACAAAGAAGTTTCTTAGAATTCTTCTGTTTAGTTTTTATGTGATGGTATTTCCTTTTCCAACATAGGATTCAGAGTGCTCCAAACGTCCACCTGCAGATTCTACAAAAAGAGAGTTTCTAAAGTGCTCAATCAAAAGAAAGGTTTAACTCTGTGAGTTGAAGCACACATCACAAAAAGTTTCTCAGATTACTTCTGTCTAGACTTTATGTGAAGTTATTTCCTTTTCTACCATAGAACCCGAAGCACTTATAATGTCCCCTTGCAGATTCTACAAAAAGAATGTTTCAAAACTGCTCAATCAAAAGAAAGGTTCAACTCTGTGAGATGAATGCACGCATCACCAAGAAGTTTCTTAAAATACTTCTGTCTAGTTTTTATGAGAAGACATTTCCTTTTCCACCATAGGTCTCAAAGTGATCAAAATTTCCACTTGCAAAATCTACAAAAAGAGAGTTTCAAAACTGCTCAATCAAAAGAAGGTTTATCTCTGTGATATGAATACACACTTCACGAAGAAGTTTCTAAGATTTCTTCTGTCTAGATTTTTTGTGATGATATTTCCTTTTCTACCATATGTTGCAAACTGCTCCAGATGTCCACCTGTAGATTCTACAAAAAGAGTGCTTCCAAACTGCTCAATCAAAAGAAAGGTTAACTCTGTGAGATGAACGCACACATCACAAAGAAGTTTCTCAGAATTCTTCTGTCTAGTTCTAACGTGAAGATATTTCCTTTTGGACCAGAGGCCTCAAGGCGATCGAAATGTCCCCTTGCAGTTTCTACAAAAAGAGTATTTCAAAACTGGTCCATCAAGAGAAAGGTTCAACTCTGGGAGATGAATGCACACATCACAAAGAAGTTTCTCAGAATGCTTCTATCTAGTTTTTACGTGAAGATATTTCCTTTTCCACCATAAGCCTCAAAGCACTCCAAATTTCCACTTGCAGGTTCTGCAAAAAGAGAGTTTCCAAAGTGCTCAATCAAAAGAAACGGTTAACTCTGTGAGATAAATGCACACATCACAAAGAAGTTTCTCAGAATTTTTCTGTCTAGTTTTTGTGTGAAGATATTTCATTTTCCACCATAGGTGTCAAGGTGCTTGAAAGGTCCACTTTCAGATTCCACAAAAAGTTTATTTCAAAACTGCTTAATCAAAAGAAAGTTTTAACTCTGTCAGATGAATGCACAAATTACAAATAAGTTTCTCAGAATTCTTCTGTCTAGTTTTTATGTGAAGATATTTCCGTTTCAACCATAGGCCTCAAAGGGCTCCAAATGTCCACTTGCAGATTGTATAAAAGGAGATTTTGAAAACTCCTCAATCAAAAGAAAGGTTTAACTCTGTGAGATGAAGGCACACATCGCAAAAGGTTTCTCAGATTGTTTCTGTCTAGATTTTATGTGAAGGTATTTCCTTTTCTACCATAGGCCACAAAGGGCTCCAAATGTCCACTTCCAGATTCTACAAAAGCAGTGTTTCCTAACTGCTCAATCAGTAGAAAGGTTCAACTCTGTGAGGTGAACACATGCATCACGAAAAAGTTTGTCAGAATGCTTCTGTTTAGTTTTTATGTGAAGATATTTCATTTTCCACCATAGGCCTCAAAGAGCTCCAAATACCAACTTGCAGATTCTACAAAAAGAGAGTTTCAAAACTGCTCAAGCAAAAGAAAAGTTTAACACTGTGAGATGAAAGCACACATCACAAAGAAGTTTCTCAGATGGCTTCTGTCCAGATTTTATGTCCAGATATTTCCAGTTCTACCACAGTCTTCAAATCACTCTAAACGTCCACTTGTGGATTCTACAAAAAGAGTGCTTTCAAACTGCATAATCAAAGGAAAGCTTCAGCTCTGTGAGATGAATGCACACCTCACAAAGAAGTTTTACAAAATTCTTCTGTCTGGTTTTTATGTGAAGATGCTTCCTCCTCCGCCATAGGCCTCAAGCGCTACAAATGTCCACTTGCAGATTCTACAAAAAGAGAGTTTCAAAACTGCTCAATCAAAAGAAATGTTTAATTCTGTGAGATGAATGCACACATCACAAAGAAGTTTCTCAGATTTCTTCTGTCTAGATTTTATGTGAAGATAATTCCTTTTCCACCATAGGCTGCAAAGCTCTCCAAATGTCCACTTTCAGATTCTGCAAAAAGAGTGTTTCCAAACTGCTCAATCAAAAGAAAGGTTCAACTCTGTGAGATGAATACACACATCACAAAGAAGTTTTTCAGAATTCTTCTGTCTAGTTTTTATGTGAAGATAGTTCATTTTCCACCGTAGGCCTCAAAGCACTACAAGTGTCCATTTGCAGAATCTACAAAAAGACTGTTCCAAAACTGCTCAAACTGAAGAAAGGTTTAACTCTGTGAGATGAATGCACACATCACAAAGAAGTTTCTCAGATTGCTTCTTGTAGATTATATGTGAAGTTAATTCCTTTTCACCACAGGCCACAAAGCACTCAAAAAGTCCACTTGCAGATAATACAAGAGAGTTTCAAAACTGCTCAATCAAAAGAAAGGTTTAACTCTGTGAGATGAATGCACACATCACAAAGAAATTTCCAAGATTGCTTCTGTCTATATTTTATGTGAAGATATTTCCTTTTCTACCATAGGCCTTAAAGTGCTCCAAATGTCCACTTGCAGATTCTACAAAAAGAGGGTTTCCACACTGCTAAATCAAAAGTAAGGTTCAACTCTGTGAGATGAGTGCACACATCACAAAGAAGTTTCTCAGAATGCTTCTTTCTCTTTATTATACGAAGATATTTCGTTATCCACCATAGGCCTCAAAGCGCTCCAAATGTCCACTTGCAGATTCTACAAAGAGAGTGTTTCAAAACTGCTCAATCAAAAGTAACGTTCAACTCTGTGAGATGAATGCACACATCACAAAGGTGTTTGTCAGAATGTGTCTGTCTAGATTTTATGTGAAGATATTTCCTTTTCTACCATAGGCCTCAAAGTGCTAGAAATGTCCACTTGCAGACTCCAGTAAAAGAGGTTTTCAAACCTGCTCAATCAAAATAAATGTTCAACTCTCTGAGATGAATGCACACATCACAAAGAAGTTTGTCAGAATGCTTCTGTCTAGTTCTTATGTGACGATATTTCCTTTTCCACCAAAGGCGTCAAAGCACTCCAAATGTCCAATCACAGATTTTACCAAAAGGGGGCTTCAAAACTGCTAAATCAAAAGTAAGGTTCAACTCTGTAGGATGAATGCACATATCACAAAGA
>NT_187436.1:0-6361 GCF_000001405.40 Homo sapiens | reverse complement strand
GGCGTCAAAGCGTCCCAAATGTCATCTTGCAGATTCAACAAAAGAGAGTTTCAGAACTGCTCAAACAAAAAAGAGCGTTAACTCTGTGAGATGAATGCACACATCACAAAGAAGTTTCTAAGATTGCTTTTGTCTACATTTTATGTGAAGATATTTCCTTTTCTAACGTCAGCCACAAAGTGCTACAAATATCCACTTGCAGATCCTTCAAAAAGAGAGTTCAAGACTTCTCAATCAAAAGGAAGGTTTAACTCTGTGAGATGAATGCACCCATCACAAATAAGTTTCTCAGACTGCTTCTCTCTAGATTTTATGTAAAGATATTTCCTTTTCTACCTTAGGCCGCAAAGCGCTCCAAATATCCACTTGCAGATTCTACAAAATAGTGTTTCCAAACTGCTCAATCAAAAGAAAGGTTCAAATCTGTAAGATGAAGCCACACATCACAAAGAAGTTTCTCAGAATTCTTCTGTCTAGTTTTTATGTGAAGATATTTCCTTTTCCACCATAGGCCTTTAAGTGCTCCAAATGTTCACTTGCAGATTCTACAAAAGAGAGTTTCAAAACTACTCTATCAAAAGAAATTTTTAACTCTGTGAGATGAATGCACACATTACAAAGATGTTTCACAGATTGCTTCTGTATAGATTTTATGTGAGGATATTTCTTTTTCTACCATATGCCACAAAGTACTCCAAATGTCCACTTGCAGATTCAATAAAAAGAGTGTTTCCACACTGCTTAATCAAAAAAAAAGATTCAACTCAGTGAGATGAACGCACGCATCACAAAGAAGTTTCTCATAATTCTCCTGTGTAGTTTTTAAGTGAAGATAATTTATTTTCCACAATAGGCCACAGGGCACTCCCATTTTCCACTTGCAGATACTACAAAAAGAGAGTTCCAAATCTGCTCCATCAAAAAAAAAGATCAACTCTGTGAGATGAACGCACACATCACAAAGAAGTTTCTCATATTGCTTCTGTCTAGATTTTATGTTAAGATATTTCCTTTTCCACCGAAGGCCACAAAGCACTCCAAATGACCACTTGCAGATTCTGCAAAAAGAGTGTTTCAAAACTGCTCTATCAAAAGAAAGATTTCACTCTGTGAGATAAAGGCACACATCACAAAGAAGTTTCTCAGATTGCTTGTGTCTAGATTTTATGTGAAGATATTTCCTTTTCTACCATAGGCCACAAAACACTCCAAATGTCCACTTGCAGATTCTACAAAAAGAGTGTTTTGAAACTGCTCAATCAAAAGAAAGGTTCATCTCTTTGAGATGAATGCACACATCACAAACAAATTTCTCAGATAGCTTCTGTATAGATTTTATGTGAGAGTATTTCATTTTCTAACATAGGCCGCAAAAAGCTCCAAATATCCACTTGCGGATTCTACAAAAAGAGAGTTTCAAAACTGCTCTATCAAAAGATAGGTTAAAATCTGTGACTTGAATGCACAGCTAACAACGAAGTTTCCCAGAAAGCTTCTGTGTAGTTTTTATCTGAAGAAATTTCCTTTTCCAAATTAGACCACAAAGCTTTTCAAATATCCACTTCCAGATTCTACAAAAAGAGTGTTTCCAAATTACTCAGTCAAGAGAGAGATTCAACACTTTGTGATGAATGCACTCATCACAAAGACGTTTCCCGGAATGATTCTGTTTAGTTTTTATTTGAAGATATTTCCTTTTCCACTGTAGGCCACAAAGGGCTCCAAATATCCACCTGCAGATGCTACAAAAAGAGAGATTCAAAACTGCTCAATCAAAAGATAGGTTCAACTCTGTGAGTTGAATGCACACATCACAAAGTATTTTCTCAGAATGCCTCTGTGTAGTTTTTATGTGAAGATATTTCCTTTTCCACTATAGGCCTCAAAGCACTCCAAATATCCACTTGCAGGTTCTGCAAAAAGAGAGATTCAAAACTGCTCAATCAAAAGATGGGTTCGACTCTGTGAGTTGAATGCACACCTCACAAAAAAGTTTCTCAGAATGCTTCTGTGTAGTTTTTATTTGAAGATATTTGCTTTTCCACAGTAGGCCTCAGAACGTTACAAATATCAACTTGCAGATTCTGCAAAAAGAGAGATTCAAAACTGCTCAATCAAAAGATAGGCTCAACTCTGTGTGTTGAATGCACACATAATAAAGGAGTTTCTCAGAATAATTCTGTGTAGTTTTTATATTAAGATATATCTTTTCCAAAAATAGGCCTCAATGCCCTCCAAATAGCTACTATGAGTTTCTACAAAAAGAGTGTATCGAAACTGCTCAGTCAAAAGAAACTTTAAACTCTTTTTGATCAATGCACTCATCACCAAGGCATTTCTCTGAATGCTTCTGTGTAGTTTTTATTTGAAGATATTTCCTTTTCAACCATAGGGCACAAAGGGCTCCAAATATCCACTTGCATAGTCTACAAAAAGAGAGATTGAAAACTGCTCAATCATAAGATAGGTTCAAACGTGTGAGCTGAATGCACACATCACAGAGAAGTTTCCCAGAATTCTTCTGTGTCGTTTTTATTTGAAGATATTTCCTTTTCCACAATAGGCCACAAAGGTCTCCAAATATTCACTAGCAGATTCTACAAAAGAGAGATTCCAAATGGCTCAATCAAAAGATAGATTCAACTATGTGAGTTGAATGCACACATAAAAAGGAAGTTTCTCAGAATGCTTCTGTGTAGTTTTTATGTGAAGATATTTCCTTTTCCAAAATAGTCCTCAAAGCCCTCCAAATATCCACTTCCAAATTATACGAAAAGAGTGTTTCAAAACTGTTCAATCAAAGGAAACATTCAACTCTGTGTGATGAATGCACTCAACACAAAGAAGTTCTCAGAATGCTTATGTGTAGTTTTTATTTGTAGATATTTCCTTTTCCAACACAGGGTGCAAAGAGCTCCAAATATCCACTTGCAGATTCTAGAAAAAGACAGATTCAAAAGTGCTCAATGAAAGGAAAAGTTCAAATCCGTGAGTTGAATGCACACCTCACAAAGAAGTTTCTCAGAATGCTTCTGTATAGTTTTTATGTGAAGATATTTATTTTTCCAAAATACGCCTCAAAGCTCTCCAAATATCCACTTGCAGATTCTACAAATATAGTTTTTCAAAACTGCTCAATCAAAAGAAAGTTTCATCTCTATGAGATGAATGCACACATCAAAAAGAAGTGTCTCAGAATGCTTCTGGGTAGTTTTTATGTGAAGATATTTCCTTTTCCACAATTGTCCTCAAAGCTCTAAAATATGCACTTGCAGATTCTGCAAAAAGAGTGTTTCAAAACTGTTCAGTCAAAGGAAAGGTTCAACTCTGTGTGATGAATGCACTCATAACAAAGAAGTTTTTCTGAATGCTTCTGTGTAGTATTTATTTGATGACATTTCCTTTTCTACAATAGGCCTCAAATCGCTCCAAATATCTACTTGTAGATTCTACAAAAAGAGTGTTTCAAAACTGCTCAATCATAAGTTAGGTTCAAACTTGTGATGTGAATGCGCACATCACAAAGAAGTTTCTCAGAATGCTTCGGTGTAGTTTTTATTTGAAGATATTTACTTTTCCACAACAGGCCTCAAAGCTCTCCAAATATCCACTTGCTGATTCTGCAAAAAGAGTGTTTCAAAACTGCTCAATAAAAATAAAGGTTCAACTCTGTGTGATGAATGCACTCATCACAAATGATTTTCTCAGAATGCTTCCACGTAGTTTTAATGTGAAGATAATTCCTTTTCCACAATATGCCCCACACTGTACAAATATCCACTTGGTCATTCTTCAAAAAGGACGTTTCAAAACTGCTCAATAAAAAGAAAGGTTCAACTCCGTGTGAGGAATGTATTCATCACAAAGAAGTTTCTCTGAATGCTTCTGTGTCGTTTTTATATGAAGATATTTCCTTTTCCACCATAAGGCACAAAGGGCTCCAAATATCCACTTGCAGATTCTACAAAAAGAGAGATTCAAAACTGCTCAGTCAAAAGATAGGTTCAACTCTGTGAGTTGAATGCACACATCACAATGAAGTTTCTCAGAATGCTTCTGTATAGTTTTTATTTGAGGATATTTCCTTTTACACAATAGGCCTCAAAACTCTCCAAATATCCAATTGGTCATTCTGCAAAAAGGGTGTTTCAAAACAGCTCAATAAAAAGAAAGGTTCAACTTTGTGTGAGGAATGCATTCATCACAAAGAAGTTTCTCTGAATGCTTCTGTGTAGTTTTTATTTGAAGATATTTCTTATTCCACCATAAGGCACAAAGGGCTCAAAATATCCACTTGCAGATTCTACAAAAAGAGATTCAAAAGTTCTCAATGACAAGATAAGTTCAACTCTGTGAGTTGAATGCACAACTCACAAAGAAGTTTCTAAGAATGCTTCTGTGTAGTTTTTATGTGAAGGTATTTCCTTTTCCAAAATAGGCCTCAAAGCTCTCCAAATATCCACTTGCAGATACTTCAAAAAGAGAGATTCAAAACTGTTCATTCAAAAGATATGTCTGACACTGTGAGTTGAAAGCACACATCACAAAGAAGTGTCTCAGACTACTTCTGTGTAGTTTTTATGGGAAGATCATTGATTTTCCACAGTAGGCCTCAAAGTGCTGCAAATATCCACTTGCAGATACGGCAAAAAGGGAGATTCAAAACTACTCAATTAAAAGATATGTTCAACTCTGTGAGTTGAAAGCAAACCTCACAAAGAAGTTTCTCAGAATTCTTCTGCATAGTTTTTATGTGCAGATATTTCCTTTTCCACAATAGGCCTCAAAAGGCTCCAATTATCCACTTGAAGATTATGCAAAAAGAGTGTTTCAAAAGTGCTGAATCAAAAGAAAGTTTCAACTCTGTGAGATGAATGCACACAACACAAAGAAGTTTCTCAGAATGCTTCTGTGTAGTTTTAATGTGAGGATATTTGTTTTTCCACGGAGGCCTCTAAGGGCTCTAAATATAAACTTGCAGATACTACAAAAAGAATGTTTCAAAACTGCTCAATCATAAGATAGGTTCATCCCCGAAAGACGAATGCACACATTTCAAAGAAGTTTCTCAGAATGCTTCTGTGTAGTTTTTATTTGAAGATATTTCCTTTTCTACCATAGGTCAAAAAGGGCTCCAAATATCCACTTGCAGATTCTTCAAAAAGAGAGATTAAAAACTGGTCAGTCACAAGATAGTTTAAACTATGTGATTTGAAAGCACACATGACAAAGAAGTTTCTCAGAATGCTTCTGTGTAGTTTTTATAGAAGATATTTGATTTTCCAATGTAGGTCTCAAAGTGCTCCAAATATCCTCTTGCAGATTCTATAGAACGAGTGTTTCAAAACTGCTCAGTCAAAAGAAAGTTTCAACTCTGTGAGATGAATGCACACATCGCAAAGAAGTTTCTCCGAATGCTTCTTTGTAGTTTTTATTTGAAAATATTTCCTTTTCCACCACAGGGCACTAAGGGCTCCAAATATCCACTTGCAGATTCTACAAAAAGAGAGATTCAAAACTGCTCAATCAAAAAATAGGTTCAACTCTGTGAGTTGAATGCACACATCACAATGAAGTTTCTCAGAATGTTTCTGTGTAGTTTTTATTTGAGAATATTTCCTTTTCCACCAAATAACCCTTTGTAGATTCTACAAAAACAGTGTTTCAAAACATCTCTATCAAAAGAAAGGATCAACTCTGTGACATGAGTGTACTAATCACAAAGAGGTTTCCCAGAATACTTTTGTGTAGTTTTTATGTGAAGATATTTGATTTTCCACAGTAGGTCTCAAAGAGCTCCAAATATCCACTCTCAGATTCTGCAAAAAAGAGAGATTCAAAACTGCTGAATCAAAAGATAGATTCAACTTTTTGAGTTCAATGCACACCTCACAAGGAAGTTTCTCAGAATGCTTCTGTGTAGTTTTTATATGAAGATATCTCCTTCTCCAAAATAAGACTCGAAGCCCTCCAAATATTCACTTTCAGATTCTACGGAAAGAATGTCTCAAAACTGATCAATCAAGACTAACGTTCAACTCTGTGTGATGAATGCACTCATCACAAAGTAGTTTCTCTGAATGCTTCTGTGTAGTTTTTATTTGAAGATATTTGCTTTTCCACTATTGGGTGAAATAGGGCTCAAATAACCACTTGCAGATTCTACAAAAAGAGAGATTCTAAACTACTCAATCAAAAGACAGGTTCCACCCTGTGAGATGAATGCAAACATCATAAAGATGTTTCTCAGAATGCTTCTGTGTAGTTTTTATTTGATGATATTTCCTTTTCCACCATAGCTGCTAAGGGCTCCAAATATCACTTTGCAGATTCTACAAAAAAGAGATAATCTAAACGGCTC
>NT_187435.1:0-8127 GCF_000001405.40 Homo sapiens | reverse complement strand
TATAAAACTACACAGAAGCCTTCTGAGAAACATCTTTGTGAGGTTTGCATTCAACTCACAGAGTAGAAGCTATCTTTTGATTGAGGAGTTTTGAATCTCTCTTTTTTCAGAATCTGCAAGTGGATATTTGGAGCGCTTTGAGGCCTACTTTTGAAAATCAAATATCTTCCCTTAAAAACTACACAGAAGCATTCTCAGAAATTGTTTGTCATGTGTGCTTCCTAATCACCGAGTTGAACCTATCTTGTGATTGAACAGTTTTGAATCTCTCTTTTTGTAGAATCTGCAAGTGGATATTTTTAGTCCTTTGCAGACTGTGGTGGAAAAGGAATGATCTTGAAATCAATTCTACACAGTAGCATTCAGACAAACTTCTTTGTGATGAGTGCATTCGTCACACAGAGTTGATCCTTTCCTTTGATTGAGCAACTCTGAAACACTCTTTTAGAGGGTCTGCAAGTGGATATTTTAGAGCTTTGGGACAATTGTGGAAAAGTAAATATCTTCACATAAAAACTACACAGAGGCATTCTGAGAAACTTCTTTGTGAGATGTGCATTCAACTCACAGAGTTGAACCTATCTTTTCATTGAGCAGTTTTGAATCTCTCTTTTTGTAGACTCTGCTTGCGGATATTTGGAGAGCTTTGAGGCCTATTGTGGAAAAGGAAATATCTTCACATAAAAACACACAGAAGCATTCTGAGAAACTTCTTTGTGAGGTGTGCATTCAACTCACAGAGTTGAACCTATCTTTTGATTGAGCAGTTTTGAATCTCTCTTTTTGTAGAAGCTGCATGTGGATATTTGGAGATGTTTGCGGCCTATGGTGGAAAAGGTAATACCTTCAAATAAAAACTAGACAGAAGCATTTTGAGAAACTTCTCTGTGCTGTGTGCATTCATATCACAGGGTTGAAACTACCTTTTGATTGAGCAGTTTTGAATCTCTCTTTTTGTACCATGTGCAAGTGGATATTTGGAGCCCTTTGTGGTCTATGGTGGAAAAGGAACTATCCTCAAATAAAAACTACACAGAAGTATTCTGAGAAACTTCTTCGTGATGTGTGCATTCTTCTCACAGAGTTGAACCTTTGTTTTGCTTGAGCAGTTTTGAGACCATCTTTCCATAGGATCTGGAAGTGAATATTTGGAGGGCTTTGAGATCTATTTTGGAGAAGGAGATATCTTCATATAAAAACTACAGAGAAGCATTCTGAGAAACATCTTTGTGAGGTGTGCACTGAAGTCACAGAGTTCAAACTATCTTTTGATTCAGCAATTTTGAATCTCTCTTTTTGCAGAATCTGTGAGTGGATATTTGGAGTGCTTTGTGGCCTACTGTGGAAAACCAAATATCTTCACATAAAAACTACACAGAAGCATCCTGAGAAACTTCTTGGTGATGTGGTCTTTCAACTAATAGAGTTGAACCTATCTTTTGATTGAGCAGTTTTGAATCTCTCTTTTTGCATAATCTGCAAGTGGATATTTGGAGAACTTTGAGGCCTACTGTGGAAAATCAAATATCTTCCCATAAAAACTACACAGAAGCATTCTGAGAAACCTCTTTGTCATACATACATTCATCTCACAGGGTTGATCCTATTTTATGATTGAGCACTTTTGAAACACTCTTTTTGTAGAATCTGCAAGTGAATATTTGGAGCTTATTGGGGGCTACTGTGGAAAAACCAATATCTTCACATAAAAACTACACAGAAGCATTCTGAGAAACTGCTTTGTGATGTGTGCATTCATCTCACAGAGTAGAACCTTTCTTTTGATTGAGCAGTTCTGAAACACTCTTTTTGTAGAATCTGCAAGTGGATATTTGGAAAGTTTTGAGGCCTATTGTGGAAAGGGAAATATCTTCAAATAAAAACTACCCAGAAGCACTCTGTGAAACTTCTTTGTGATGTGTGCATTCAACTAACAGTGTTGAACCTATCTTTTGATTGAGCAGTTTGGAATCTCTCTTTTTGTAGAATCTGCAAGTGAATATTTGGAGCCCTATTTCGCCCTATAGTGGAAAAGCAAATATCTTCAAATAAAACTACACAGAAGCATTCAGAGAAACTTCTTTGTGATGAATGCATTCATCACACAGATTTGAAACTTTATTTTGATTTAGCAGTTTTGAGACAATCTTTCCGTAGAATCTTGAAGTGAATATTTGGAGGGCTTCGAGTTCTGTTTTGGAGAAGGAGATATCTTCATATAAAAACTACACAGAAGCTTTCTGAGAAACTTCTTTGTGATGAATGCATTCCTCACACAGAGTTGAACCTTTCTTTTTATTGAGCAGTATTAAAACCCTCTTTTTGCAGAATCAACAAGTGGATATTTGGAGAGCTTTGAAGCCTGTTTTGGAAAAGGAAGTATCTTCAAATTAAAACTAAACAGAAGCATTCTGAAAAACTTCATTGTGATGTGTGCATTCAACTCTCAGAGTTGAACCTATCTTATGATTGAGCAGTTTGGAAACACTCTTTTTGTAGAATCTGCAAGTGGATATTTAGAGAGATTTGAGGCCTATTGTAGAAAAGGAAATATCTTCACATAGAAACTACGCAGAAGCATTCTGAGAAACTTCTTTGGGATGTGTGCATTCAACTAACAGTGTTAAACCTATCTTTTGATTGAGCAGCTTAGAATCTCTCTTTTTGTAGAAAATGCAAGTGGATATTTGGAGCCCCATTTCGCCCTATGGTGGAAAACAAAACATCTTCACATAAAAACTACACAGAAGCATTCTGAGAAACTTCTTTGTGATGTTTGCATTCAACTCACCGAGTCGAACCTATCTTTTGATAGAGCAGTTTTGTATCTCTCTTTTTGCAGAATCTGCAAGTGGATATTTGGAAAGCTTTGAGGCCTATTGTGAAAAGGAAATATCTACACATAAAAACTACAGAGAAGCATTCTGAGAAACTTCTTTGTGAGGTATAGATTCAACCCACAGAGTTGGACTTATCTTTTCATTGAGCAGTTTTGAATGTCTCTTTTTGTAGAATCTGCAAGTGGATATTTAGAGCCCTTTGCAACCTATGGTGGAAAAGGAAATAACTTCAAATAACAACTACACAGAAGCCTTCAGAGAAACTTCTTTGTGATGAGTGCATTCATCCCACAGAGTTGAAACTTCCTTTTTATTGAGCAGTTTTGAAACATTATTTTTGCAGAATCAGCAAGTGGATATTTGGAGAGCACTGTGGCCTATTGTGGAAAAGGAAATCTCTTCATATAAAAACTACACAGGAGCATTCAGAGAAACTACTTTGTGATGTGTGCATTGAACTCACAGAGTTGAACCTGTCTTTTGATTGAGCAGTTTTGAATCTCTCTTTTTGTAGAATCTGCAAGTGGATATTTGGAGCCCTTTGCAGCCTATGATTGAAAAGGAAATATATTCAAATAAAAACTACACAGAAGCATTCTGAGAAACATCTTTGTGATGTGTGCATTCGTCTCACAGGGTTGAACCTATCTTCTGATTGAGCAGTTTCAAAAAACTCTTTTTGTAGAATCTGCAAGTGGATATTTGGAGTGCTTTGAGGCCTACCATGGAAAAGCAAATATCTTCAGATAAAAACTACGCAGAAGCAATCTGACAAACTTCTTTGTGCTGTGTGCATTCATCTGACAGAGTGGAAATTTTCTTTTCATTGAGCAGTTTTTAAACACTCTTTTTCTAGAAACTGCAATTGGATACTTGGAGGCCTTTGAGACCTCCATGGAAAAGGAAATATCTTCACATAATAATCACACAGAAGCATTCTGAGAAACTTCTTTTTGATGTGCGCATTCATCTCACAGAGTTAAACCTTTCTTTTGTTTCGGCAGTTTTGAAACACTCTTTTTGTACATTCTGCAAGTGGATATTTGGAGCGATTTGAAGCCTATTGTGGGAAAGGAAATATCCTCACATAAAAACTACACACAAGCATTCTGAGAAAGTTCTTTTTGATATGTGCATTCATCTAACAGTTGAACCCTTCTTTTGATTGCGCAGTTTGAAACACTCTTTTTGTAGAATCTGCAAGTGGATATTTGGAGCGATTTGAGGCCTATTGTGGAAAAGGAAATATCTTCAAATAAAAACTACAAGGAAGCATTCAGAGAAACTCCTTTGTGATGAGTGCGTTAATCAGACAGAGTTGAAACTTTCTTTGCATTGAGCAGTTTGAAGCACTCTTTTTGTAGAATCTGGAAGGGGGTATTTGAGGGCTTTGAGGCTTATTTGAAGAAGGAGATATCTTCACATAAAAACTACACAGAAGCATTCTGAGAAACCTCTTTGTGATGAATGCTTTAAACACAGAGTGTCGAACTTATCTTTTGATTGGGCATTATTGAATCTCTCTTTTTGCAGAATCTGCAAGTGGATATTTGGAGAGCTTTGAGGCGTACTGTTGAAAAGGAAATATCTTCACATAAAAACTACACAGAAGGATTCTGAGAAAGTTCTTTGTGAGGTGTGCCTTCAACTCACAGAGTTGAACTTATCTTTTGATTGAGCAGTTTTGGATCTCTCTTTTTGTAGAATTTTCAAGTGGACTTTTGGAGCCCTTTGTGCCCTATATTTGAAAAGGAAATATCTTCAAATAAAAACTACACAGAAGGATTCAGATAAACTTCTTTGTGATGAGTGTATTCATCACACAGAGTTGAAACTTTCTTTTTATTGAACAGTTTCAAAACACTCTTTTTATAGAATCAGCAAGTGGATATTTGGTGAGATATGAGGCCTATTGTGGAAAAGGAAATATCTTCCAATAAAAACTACACAGAAGCATTCTGAGAAACTACTTTGTGATGTGTGCATTCAACTCACAGAGGTGAACCAATCTTTTGATTGAGCAGTTTTGAAACACTCTTTTTGTAGAATCTGGAAGTGGATATTTTGTGGGCTTTGAGGTCTATTTCGGAAAAGGAAATATCTACATATAAAAACTACACAGAAATATTCTGAGAAACTTCTCTGTTATGTGTGCATTCAACTCACAGAGTTGAACATATCTTTTGATTGAGGAGTCTGGAATCTCTCATTTTGCAGAAACTGAAAGTGGATATTTGGATCCTTTTGAGGCATACTGTGGAAAAGCAAATATCTTCACATAAAATCTACACAGAGGCATTCTGCAAAACTTCTTTGAGATGTGTGCATTCAAATCACGGAGTTGAACCTATCTTTTGATTGAGCAGTTTTTAATTTCTCTTTTTGTAGAATCTGCAAGTGGAGGTTTGGAGCACTTTGTGGCCTATGGTGGAAAAGGAGATATCTTCAAATGAAAACTACACAGAAATATTCTGAGAAACTTCTTTGTGATGTGTGCATTCATCTCACAGGGTTGAACCTATCTTATGATTGAGCAGTTTTGATATGCTCTTTTTGTAGGATCTGCAAGTGGATATTTGGAGCGCTTTGAGGCCTACCATGGAAATGAAATAACATCATATAAAAACTACACAGAAGCATTCTGAGAGACTCCTTTGTGATGTGTGCATTCATCTCACAGAGTTAAACCTTTATTTTGATGGAGCAGTTTTGAAACACACTTTTTGTAGAATCTGCAAGTGGATATTTGGGGTGATTTGAGGCATATTTTGGAAAAGGAAATATCTTCATTTAAAAACCACACAGAAACATTCTGAGAAACATTTTTGTGATGTGTGCACTAAACTCACAGAGTTGAACCTATCTTTTGATTGAGCAGTTTAGAATCTCTCTTTTTATAGAATCTGCAAGTAGATATTTGAAGACCTTCTTGCCCTATGGTGGAAAAGGAAATATCTTCACATAAAAACTACACAGAAGCATTCTGAGAAACTTCTTTGTGAGGTGTTCATTCAACTCACAGAGTTGAACCTATCTTTTTATTGATCAGTTTTGAATCTCTCTTTTTGCAGAATCTGCAAGTGGATATTTGGAGCGCTTTGAGGCCTACAGTGGAAAATCAAATATCTTCCCATAAAAACTACACAGACGCATTCTGAGAAACTTCTTTGTCATGTGTGCTTTCAAATCACATAGTTTAAACTATCTTGTGACTGAGAAGTTTTTAGTCTCTCTTCTTGTAGAATCTGCAAGTGGATATTTGGAGATCTCTGTGGCCTGTGGTGTAAAAGGAAATATCTTCAACTAAATACCACACAAAAGCATTCAGAGAAACTTCTTCGTTGTGAGTGTATTCATCACAGAGAGGTGAAACTTTCCTTTGATTGAACACTTTTGAAACACTCTTTTTGTAGAATCTGCAAGTGGATATTTTAGAGCTTTGAGGAAAATTGTGAAAAATGAAATATTTTCACATAAAACCTACAGAGAAGCATCCTGAGAAACTTCTTTGTGAGGTGTGCATTCAACTCACAGAGTTGAACCTATCATTTCATTGAACAGTTTTGAATATCTCTTTTTGTAGAATCTGCAATTGGATATTTGGAGCTCTTTGCGCCCTATGGTGGAAAAGAAAATATCTTCATATAAAAAATGCACAGAAGCATTCTGAGAAACTTCCTCATGATGTGTGCTTTCAAATCACAGAATTGAACCTATCTTTTGATAGAGCAGTTTTGAATCTCTCTTTTTGCAGAATCTACAAGTGGATATCTGGAGAGCTTTGAGGCCTATTTGGAAAAGGAAATATCTTCACAAAAAAAACTATACAGAAGCATCCTGAGAAACTTCTTTGTGAGTTGTGCATTCAACACGCAGAGTTGAACTTATCTTTTCGTTGAGCACTTTTGAGTTCCTCTTTTTATAGAATCTGCAATTGGATATTTGGAGCTCTTTGCGCCCTATGCTGGAAAAGGAAATATCTTCACATAACAACTACACAGAAGCATTCTGAGAAACTTCTTTGTGATGTGTGCGTTCAACTCGCAGAGTTGAACCTATCTTATGATAGAGCAGTTTTGAAACACTCTTTTTGTAGAATCTGCAGGTAGGTATTTGGAGCGCTTTGTGGCCTACTGTGGAAAAGAAAATATCTTCAACTAAATACTACACAGAAGCATTCCGAGAAAATTCTTTGTGATGTGAGCGTTCAACTCACAGAGTTGAACCTATCTTATGATTGAGCAGTTTTCAAACAAAATTTTTGTAGTATCTGAAAGTTTATATTTGGAGCCCTTAGAGGCCTCCATGGAAAAGCAAATATTCTCAAATAAAAACTACACAGAAGTATTCTGAGAAACTACTTTGAGATGTATGCATTCATCTCACAGAGTTGAACTTTTCTTCTGATTCAGCAGTTTTGAATCACTCTTTTTGTAGAATCTTCAAGTGGATATTTGGAGTCTTTTGAGGCCTATTTTGAAAAAGGAAATATCTTCACATAAAAACTACACAGAAGTATTCTGAGAAACTTCTTTGTGATGTATGCATTCATCTCACAGAGTTGAACCTTTCTCTTGATTGAGCAGTTTTCAAACACTCTTTTTGTAGAATCTGCAAGTGGATATTTAGAGCGATTTGATGCCTATTGTGGAAAAGAATATATCTTCACATAAAAACTACAGAGAAGCATTCTGTGAAACTTCTTTGTGATGTGTGCATTCAACTCACAGTGTTGAACCTATCTTTTGATTGAGCAGTTTAGAATCTCTCGTTCTGCAGAATCTGCAAGTGGATATTTGGAGCCCTCTTTCGCCCTATGGTGGAAAAGCAAATATCTTCAAATAAAAACTACACAGAAGCATTCAGAGAAACTTCTTTGTGATGAGTGCATTCATCACACAGAGATGAACCTTTGTTTTGATTGAGCAGTTTTGAGACACTTTTTTCGTAGAATCTGGAAGTGGAAATTTGGATGGCTTTGAGCCCTATTTTGGAGAAGGAGTTATCTTCACATAAAAACTACAGAGTAGCATTCTGAGAAATTTCTTTGTGAGGTGTGCATTGGAGTCACAGAGTTGGACTTATCTTTTGATTCAGCAGTTTTGAATCTCTCCTTTGCAGATTCTGCAAGTGGATACTGGGAGCGCTTTGAGGCTAACTGTGGAAAATCAAATGTCTTCACATAAAATCTGCACAGAAGCATTCTGAGAAACTTCTTTGTGATTTGCGCTTTCAACTCACAGAGTACAACGTATCTTTTGATAGAGCAGTTTTGAATCTCTCTTTG
>NT_187434.1:0-5674 GCF_000001405.40 Homo sapiens | reverse complement strand
GGAATCTGTTGCCATGTGTGTACTCAACTAACAGAGTTGAACGTATCTTTGAGAGAGCAGATTTGAAACACTCTTTTGTAGAATCTGTAAGTGGATATTTGGATAGCTTTGAGGATTTCGTTGGAAACGGGAATATCTTCCCATAAAATCTAGATGGAAGCATTCTCAGAACCTGCTTTGTGATATTTGCATTGAACTCACAGAGCTGAACATACCCTTTGATAGAGCAGGTTTGAAACACTCTTTCTGTACTATCTGGAAGTGGGCATTTTGAGCGCTTTCAGGCCTATGGTGAAAAAGGAAATATCTTCAAATAAAAACTAGACAGAAGCATTCTCAGAAACTTATTTGTGATGTGTGACCTCAACTCACAGAGTTCAACCTTTGTTTTGATACAGCAGTTTGGAGACACTCTTTTTGTAGAATCTACAAATGGATATTTGGAGATCTTTGAAAATTTCGTTGGACATGGGAATATCTTCATATAAAATCTAGACAAAAGCATTCTCAGAATCTTCTTTGTGATGTTTGCATTGAACTCATAGAGTTGAGCATTCCCTTTCATACAGCACGTTAGAAACACACTTTGTGTAGTATGTGGAAATGGACATTTCGAGCACTCTTAGGCCTAAGGTGAAAAGGGAAATATCTTCAAATAAAAACTAGTCAGCAGCATTCTCAGAAACCTCTTGGTGAATGTGTGTACTCAACTAACAGAGTTGAACCTTCCTTTTCACAGAGCAGGTTTGAAACACTCTTTTTGTGGCATTTTCAAGTGGATATTTGGATAGCTTTGAGGATTTCGTTGGAAACGGGAATATTTTCATGTAAAATCTAGACCGAAGCATTCTCAGAATCTGCTTTGTGATGTATGTCCTCAATTCCCAGAGTTGAACCTTTGTTTGGATACAGCATTTTGGAAACATTCCTTTTGTAGAATCTGCAAGTTGATATTTGGATAGCTTTGAGGATTTCGTTGGAAACGGGAATATCTACATATAAAATCTAGACAGAAGCATTCTCAGAAACTTCTTTGTAATGTTTGCATTCAACTCATAGAGTTGAACGTTCCCTTTCATACAGCAGGTTTGAAACACTCTTTTTGTAGTATGTGGGAGTGGACATTTGGAGCGCTTTGAGGCCCACGGTGAAAAAGGAAATATCTTCCCATAAAAACTAGACAGAAGCATTCTCAGAAACTTGTTTGTGACGTGTGTATTCAACTAACAGAGTTGAAACTTTCTTCTTACAGAGCAGCTTTGAAACACTCTTTTGGTGGAATCTGCAATTGGAAATTTCGATAGTTCTGAGGATTTCGTTGGAAACGGGATTACAAATAGAAAGTAGACAGCAGCATTCTCAGAAACTGCTTTGTGATGTTTGTATTCAAGTCACCTAGTTGAACATTCCCTTTCATAGAGGAGGTTTGAATCACTGTTTCTGTAGTATCTGGAAGTGGATATTGCGAGCGCTTTCAGGCCTAAGGTGAGAAAGGTAATGTCTTTAAATCCGAACTAGACAGAAGCATTCTCAGAAACTTATTTGTGATGTGTGTCCTCAACTGACAGAGTTGAACCTTTGTTTTGATACAGCAGTTTGGAAACACTCTTTCTGGAGAATCTACAAGTGGATATTTTGAGAGCATTGAAAATTTTGTTGGAAGCGGGAAAACCTTCATATAAAATCTAGACAGAAGCATTCTCCGAAACTTCATTGTGTTGTTTGCATTCAACTCATGGAGTTGAACATTCCCTTTGATACAGCAGGTTTGAAACACTCTTTGTGTAGTATGTTGAAATGGACTTTTCGAGCGCTTTGAAGCCTATGGTGAAAAAAGAAATATCTTCCCATAAAATGTAGACAGAAGCTTTCTCAGAAACTTCTTTGTGATGTGTGTACTCAAGTAACAGAGTTGAACCTTCCTCGTGACAGAGCAGTTTTGAAACACTCTTTTTTTAGAATCTACAAGTGGATATTTGGATAGATTTGAGGATTACAATGGAAAAGGCAATATCTTCACATAAAATCTAGACAGAAGCATTCTCAGAAACTTCTTTTTGATATTTACTTTCAACTCATTGATTTGAACATTCCCTTTCATACAGCAGGTTTGAAACACTCTTTGTGTAGTATGTGGAAATGGTCATTTGGAGCGCTTTGAGGCCTATGGTGAAAAAGGAAATACCTTCCCATAAACAATAGATAGAAGCATTCTCAGAAACTTGTTTTTGGTGTGTGTACTGAACTAACAGAATTGAACCTACCTTTTGACATAGCAGTTTTGAAACACTGTTTTTGTACAATCTGCAAGTGGATATTTAGATAGCTTTGAGGATTTCGTTGGTTCCGGGAATATCTTCATATAAAATCCAGATGGAAACATTCTCAGAAACTGCTTTGTGATGTTTGCATTCAAGTCACAGAGTTGAACATTCCCTTTCATAGAGCAGGTTTGAAACACTCTGTAGTATCTGAAAGTGGACATTTTGAGCACTTTCAGGCCTACGGTGTGAAAGGAAATGTCTTCAAATAAAAACTAGACAGAATCATTCTCAGAAACTTATTTGTGATGTGTGTCCTCAACTAAGAGAGTTGAACCTTTGTTTTGATACAGGAGTTTGGAAACACTCTTTTTGTAGAATCTACAAGTGCATATTTGGAGAGCTTTGAAAATTTCATTGGAAACGGGAATATCTTCATATAAAATCTAGACAGAAGCATTCTCAGAAACTTCTTTGTGATGTTTGCATTCAACTCATAGATTTGAACATTCCCTTTCATAGAGCAGGTTTGAAACATTCTTTGTGTAGTATGTGGAAATGGACATTTCAAGCGCTCTGAGGCCTATGGTGAAAAAGGAAATGTCTTCCCATAAAACTAGACAGAAACATTCTCAGAAACTTATTTGTGATGTGTGTACTCAACTAACAGAGTTGAACCTTCCTTTTGACAGAGCAGTTTTGAAACACTCTTTTTGTCGTATCTGCAAGTGGATATTTGGATAGTTTTGAGGATTTTGTTGGTAACGGGGATACCTTCATATAAAATCTAGATGGAAGCATTCTCAGAAAGTGATTTGTGATGTCTGCATTCTAGTCACAGAGCTGCACATTCCCTTTCATATAGCCGACTTGAAACTCTCCTTTTGTGGTATCTGGAAGTGGACATTTCGAGCACTTTGACGCCTGTGTTTAAAAAGGAAATATCTTCCCATATAAACTAGACAGAAGCATTCTCAGAAACTTGGTTGTGATACGTGCCGTCAACTAATAGATTTGAACCTTTCTTTTGTCATAGGACTTTTGGAAAACTCTTTTTGTAGAATCTGCAAGTTGATATTTGGATAGCTTTGAGGATTTCGTTGGAAACGGGAGTATCTTCATGTAAAATCTAGACAGAAGCATTCTCAGAAAATGCTTAGTAATGTCTGCAGTCAAGTCACAAAGTTGAACATTCCCTTTCGTAGAGCAGGTTTGAAACACTCTTTTTGTAGTATCTGGAAGGGGACATTTTGAGCGCTTTGTCGCCTATGGTGAAGAAGGAAATATCTTCCCTTCAAAACGAGACAGAAGCATTCTCAGAATGTTGTTTGTTATGTATGAATGGAACTAACACTTTTGAACGTCTCTATTGATAGATCAGTTTTGAAACACTGTTTTTGTAAAATTTGCAAGTGGATATTTGGATAGCTTTGAGGATTTCGTTGGAAATGGGAATATCTTCCTATAAAATCTACACAGAAGCATTCTCAGAAACTCTTTTGTAATGTCTGCATTCAAGTTACAGAGTTGAATATTCCCTTTCATAGAGTAGGTTTCAAACACTGTTTTTGTAGTATCTGGAAGTGGACATTTCGAGCTCTTTGACGCCTATGCTGAAAAAGGAATTATCTTCCCATAAAAACGAGCAGAAGGATTCTCAGAAACTTGTTTGTGACGTTTGTACGCAACTAATAGAGTTGAATCTTTCTATTCATACAGCAGTTTTGAAACTCTCTTTTTGTGGAATCTGCAAGTGGATATTTGGATAGCTTTGAGGATTTCATAGGAAACGGGAATATCTTCATGTAAAATGTAGACAGAAGCATTCTCAGAAACTTTTTTGTGACATTTTCATTCAACTCATAGGTTTCAACTTTCCCTTTCATAGAGCAGGTTTGAAACACTCTTTTTGTAGTATGTGGAAGTGGACATTTGGTGCGCTTTGATGCCTACGGTGAAAAAGGAAATATCTTCCCATAAAAACTAGACAGAAGCATTCTCAGAAACTTGTTTGTGACGTGTGTACTCAACTAACAGAGTTGAACCTTCCTTTTAACAGAGCAGTTTTGAAACACTCTTTTTGTAGAATCTGCAAGTGTACATTTGGATAGCTTTGAGGATTTCGTTGGACACGGGATTATTTTCATATAAAATCAAGACAGATGCATTCTCAGAAACTGCTTTGTGATGTCTGCATTCAAATCACCGAGTTGAAGATTTCATTTCATAGGATTGGTTTGAAACACTCTTTTTGTAGTATCTAGAAGTGAAGATTTGGAGCGCTTTGACGCCTAAGGTGAAAAAGGAAATATCTTCCCATAAAAGCTAGATAGAAGCATTCTCAGAAGCTTGTTTGTGATGTGTGTACTCAAATAACAGAGTTGAAGCTTTCTTTTGACAGAGCAGTTTTGAAATACTCTGTTTGTATAATCTGCAAGTGGATATTTTGATAGCTTGAGGATTTCATTGGAAACGGGACTCTCTTCATGTAACATCTTGACAGAAGCATTCTCAGAAACTGCTTTGTGATGTCTGCATTCAAGTCTCAGAGTTGAACCTTCCCTTTCATAGAGCATGTTTGAAACACCCTTTTTGTAGTATCTGGAAGTGGACATTTCGAGCTGTTTGAGGCCTATGCTGAAAAAGGAAATATCTTCCCATAAAAACTAGCAGAAGGATTCTCAGAAACTTGTTTGTGATGTATGTACGTAACTAACAGATTTGAATCTTTCTATTGATAGAGCAGTTTTGAAACACTCTTTTTGTGGAATCTGCAAGTGGATATTTGGATAGCTTTGAGGATTTCGTTGGAAACGGGAATATGTTCAAGTAACAACTAGACAGTAGCATTGTCAGAAACTTCTTTGTGATGCTTGCATTCAAGCCACAAAATTGAAAATTCCTTTTCATAGAACAGTTTTGAAACACTCTTTTTGTATAATGTGTAAGTGGAAACTTGGAGTGCTTTGAGGTCTCTGGTGAAAAAGGAAATATCTTCCCTCAAAAACTAGACAGAAGAATTCTCAGAAAGTACTTTGTGATGTGTGTACTCACCTCACAGAGTTGAACTTTTCTTTTGAAAGGGAACTTTTGAAACACTCTTTTCGTAGAATCTGCAAGTGGAAAATTAGCCTGCTTTGTGGCCTTTGTTGGAAACGGGAATATCTTCACGTAAAAAGTAGACAGAAGCATTTTCAGGAACTTCTTTGTGATGTTTGCATTCAACTCAGAGAGTTGAACATTCCCTTTCATAGAGCAGTTTTTAAACACTCTTTTTGTAGGATTTGTAATTGGAAATATGGAGCACTTTTAGGCCTAAGTGAAAAAGAAAATATCTTCCCATAAAAACTAGACAGAAGAATTCTCAGTTACCACTTTGTGATGTGTCTACTCAACTCACAGACTTGAACTTT
>NT_187433.1:123794-138126 GCF_000001405.40 Homo sapiens | reverse complement strand
TCACCGAGACTGTAGTGCAGTGGCACAATCTTAGCTCACATTACATTTCACCATTCCATTGCATTCCATTTCATTCCTTTCCAGTCCACTCCACTCCCCTCCATTCCACTCCATTCCACTCCACTCCATTCCATGCCATTTCATTCCATTCCATTCGACTCCACTCCAATCCACTCCAGTCAACTTCACTCCTTTCCACTCCACTTCATTCCGTTCCCTTCCATTCCATTCTGTTCCATTCCATTCCATTCTGTTCCTTTCCATTCCATTCCACTCTACTCCATTCCATTCCCCTCCGTTCCACTGCAGTGCACTGCCCTCCACTCCACTCCACTCCATTCCCTTCCATTCTACTGCATTCCATCCGATTACTTTATTTCAATTGGATCTCACTCTGTCACCCAGACTGGAGTGCAGTGGCACAATCTTAGCTCACAATGCATTTCACCATTCCATTCCCTTCCATTCAACTCCATTCCATTCCATTCCACTCCACTGCACTCCTCTCTACTTCACTCTCCTGCATTCCCTTCCATCCTGCTCCACTCCACTCCATTCCATTCCATTCCATTCCATTCCATTTCTCTCCATTCCACTGCACTCAGATCGACTCGACTCAACTGCACTGCATTCCAGTCCATTCCTTTCCATTCCTTTCCATTCCATTGCCTTCCTTTGTGTTCCATTCCATTCCTTTCCATCCCAAACCATTCCAATCCACTCCTTTCCATTAAATTCCTCTCCACTCCACTAAACTCCACTCCATTCCATTCCATTCCAATACACTCCTATCCACCCCTCTCAACTCCACACCACTCAACTCTACTCCACTCCATTCCACTCCATTCCATTCCGCTGCACTCCAATTCACTCCACTGCACTCCACTTTCTTCCATTCCATTCCAATCCATTCCATTACACTCCACTCCTTTCCATTCCACTCCACTCCATCCCATTCCTTTCCATTCCTTTCCATTCCATTGCATTCCATTCCACTCCACTCCACTCCATTCCATTCC
This sequence comes from Homo sapiens, assembly GCF_000001405.40. Lineage (NCBI taxonomy): Eukaryota > Metazoa > Chordata > Mammalia > Primates > Hominidae > Homo > Homo sapiens. The sequence continues at coordinate 137,107 of NT_187433.1, read as the reverse complement.
ATTGCATTCCATTCCATTCCATTCTATTCCATTCCACTGCACTCCGATCCACTCCAGTCAACTCCACTCCACTGTACTCCATTCTGTTCCGTTCTCTTGCATTCCATTCCTTTCAATTCCATTCCATTTCATTCTATTCCATTCCATTCCACTCCAATCCATGCCATTCCACTCCATGTCACTCCACTCCACTCCAATCCACTCCACTCCACTCCCTTACATTCCTTTCCATTCCATTGCACTTCATTCCTATCTGCTCCACTCAACTCCACTGCACTCCATTACACTTCATTCCACTGTGTTCCATTCCGTTTCATTCGTTTCCTCTCCGTTCCATTCCACTCTATTCCATTCCACTCCACTCGATTCCACTCCACTCCATTTCACTCCATTTCACTCCATTCCACTCCACTCCACTCCATTCCATTCCATTCCATTTCACTCCATTCCATTCCATTCCATTCCATACCATTCCACTCCATTCAACTCCACTCCACTCCAATCCCCTCCACTCCACTCCAATCCTCTCCACTCTACTCCACTCCATTCCATTCCACTCCACTCCACTCCACTCCATTCCATTACATTCCTTTGAAATCCACTCCATTCCATTCCACTCCACTCCACTCCACTCCTATCCACACCTCTTCACTCCACTCGTCTCCATTCCATTCCATTCCATTCCACTCCCGTCCATTCCATTCCCTTCCATTCCATTCCATTCCATTCCATTCCATTCCATTCCACTGCACTCCAATCTCCACATAAAAAGTAGACAGAAGCTTTCTGAGAAACTTTTTTGTGACGTGTGCCTTCATCTCACAGACGTGAAACATTCTTTTGATTGAGCAATTTGGTAAGAGTCTTTTTGTAGAATCTGCAAAAGGATATTTGTGAACACTTTGAAGCCTATGATGAAAAAGGAAATATCTTCAGAGAAAAACTAGAAAGAAGGTTTCTGAGAAACTGCTTTGTGATGTGTGAATTCGTCTCACAGAGTTGAACCTTTCTTTTGATTGAACACATTGGAAACCGTCATTTTGTAGAATCTGCAAAGGGATATTTGTGAACACTTGGAGGCCAATGGTGAAAAAGGAAATATATTCACGTGAAAACTAGACAGAAGCTTTCTGAGACACTTCTGTGTTAGGTGTGCACTCATCTCCAACAGTTGAACGATTCTTTTGATTGAGCAGTTTGGAAACAGTCTTTTTGTAGAATCAGCAATGGGATATTTGTGATTGCTTTGAGACCTATGGGGAAAAAGGAAATATCTTCACATAAAAACTAGACAGGTTTCTGAAAAACTGCTTTGTAATGTGTGCATTCATCTCACACTGGTAAACGTTTCTTTTCAATGAGCAGATGGGAAACTCTTTTCTTGTAGAATCTGCAAAGGGATATTTGTGAGTGCTTTGAAGCCTATGGTGAAAAAGGAAATATCTTCATATAAAATGTAGACAGAAGCTTTCTGAGAAATTTATTTGTGATGTGTGCATTCTTCTCATAAAGTTGAACCATTCTTCTTTATTTTTTTTTGGAGCTCTGGGTTTAATTATTTATTTATTTACTTTTATTATTATTATACTTTAATTTTTAGGGAACATGTGTACAACCTGCAAGTTTGTTACACATGTATACACGTGCCATGTTTGTGTGCTGCACCCATGAACTCATCATTTAGCATTAGGTATATCTCCTAAGGCTATCCCTCCCCCTCCCCCCACCCGACTACAGTCCCTGGTGTGTGGTGTGTCATGTTTCCCTTCCTGTGTCCATGTGTTCTCTTTGATCAACTCCCAACTATGAGTGAGAACAAGTGGTGTTTGATTTTTTGTCCTTGTGATAGTTCGCTGAGAATGATGGTTTCCAGCTTCATCCATGTCCCTACAAAGGACATGAACTCATCATTTTTTTATGGCCGCATAGTGTTCCATGATGTATATGTGCCACATTTTCTTCATCCAGTCCATCATTGTTGGACATTTACTTTGGTTCCAAGTCTTTGCTATTGTGAATAGTGCTGCTATAAACATACGTGTGCATGTGTCTTTATAGCAGCATGATTTATAATCCTTTGGGTATATACGCAGTAATGGGATGGCTGGGTCAAGTGGTATTTCTAGTTCTAGATTCCTGAGGAATCTCCATACCGACTTCCACAATGGTTGAACTAGTTTATAGTCCTACCAACAGTGCAAAAGTGTTCCTATTTCTCACATCCTCTCCAGTACCTGTTGTTTCCTAACTTTTTAATGATTGCCATTCTAACTGGTGTGAGATGATATCTCATTGTGGTTTTGACTTGCATTTCTCTGATGGCCAGTGAAGGTGAGCATTTTTTCATTTGTTTATTGGCTGCATAAATGTCTTCTTTTGAGAAATGTCTGTTCATATCCTTCGCCCACTTTTTGATGGGGTTGTTTGTTTTTTTCCTTTAAATTTGTCTGAGTTCATTGTAGATTCTGGATATTAGCCCTTTGTCAGATGAGTAGGTTGCAAAAATTTTCTCCCATTCTGTAGGATGCCTGTTCACTCTGATGGTGGTTTCTTTTGATGCACAGAAGCTCCTTAGTTTAATGAGATCCCATTTGTCAATTTTGTCTTTTGTTGCCATTGCTTTAGGTGTTTTAGACATGAAGTCCTTGCCCATGCGTATGTCCTGAATGGTATTGCCTAGGTTTTCTTTTAGAGATTTCATGTGAAGCATTGTGTTGATTAATCAATTTGGATACTCTGTTGTTGTAGAATCTGCAAGGAAATATTTGTGAGTGGTTTGAGGTCTATGTTGAAAAAGAAAATATCTTCACCTAAAAACTAGACAGAAGCATTCTGAGAAACTTCTTTGTGATGTATGCATTCATCTCACAGAGTTGAACCTTTCTTCTGATTGAGCAGTTTCAAAACAGTCCTTTTGTAGAAACTGCAAAGGGATATTTGTGAGCTCATTGAGGCCTATGGTGAAATAGGAAATATCTTCATATAAAACTAGTCAGAAGATTTCTGAAAACTTATTTGTGATGTGTGCTTTCATATCACAGAGTTGAACCTTTCTTTTGATTGAGCAGTTTGGAAACACACTTTTTGTAGAATCTGCAAATGGATATTTGGAGCACTTTGAGGACTATGGTGAAAAAGGAAATATCTTTACATAAAAACTAGAAAGCAACATTTTATGAAACTTATTTGTGATGCATGCTTTCATCTCACATAGTTGAACCTTTCTATTCATTGAACAGTTTGGAAACCATCTTTTGTAGAATCTGCAAATGGATATTTGGAGCGGTTTGAGGCCTTTGTGAGAAAGGAAATATCTTCACATAAAAACTAGACAGAAGCATTCTGAGAAACTTCTTGGTGACGTGTGCATTTATCACACAGAGTTGAACCCTTCTGTTGATTGAACAGTTTGGTAACAGTCTTTTTGTAGTATCTGTAGAGGGATGTTTGCAAGCAGTTTGAGGCCTATGGTGAGCAAGGAAATATCTTCACATAAAAACTAGAGAGAAGCTTTCTGAGAAACTTCTTTGTGATGTGTGAATTCATCTCACAGTGTTGAACCTTTCTTTGGTTGAGCAGTTTGGAAACAATCCTTTTGTAGAATCTGCAAAGGTATATTTCTGAACCCATTGAGGCCTATGGTGAAATACAAATATCTTCCCATAAAAACTAGACAGAAGGTTTATAAGAAACTTCTTTGTGATGTGTGCTTCCATCTCACAGAGTTGAACCTTTCTTTTGATTGAGCAGTTTGGAAACACTCTTTTTGTAGAATCTGCAAATGTACATTTGGAGCGCTTTGAGGCCTATGGTAAAAAAGGAAATATCATCACATAAAAATTCGATGGAAGCATTCTGAGAAACTTCTTTGTGAGGTTTGCATTCATCTCACACAGTTGAACATTTCTTTGATTGAAGATTTGGAAACAGTCTTTTTGTAAAATCTACAAAGGGATAATTGTGAACCATTTGAGGCCTATGGTGAACTAGGAAATATCTTCACATAAAAAGTACACAGAAATTTTCTGAGAAACTTTTTTGTGATGCGTGCATTCATCTCACAGAGTTGAACCTTTCCTTTGCTAGAGCAGTTTGGAAACACTCCTATTGTAGAATCCCCAAAGGGATAATTCTGAGCCGATTGAGGCCTTTGGTGATATAGGAAATATCTTCACATAAAAGCTAGACAGAAGCTTTCTGAGAAACTTATTTTTTATGAGTCCTTTCATCTCAAAGAGTTAAGTGTTTCTTTTGAATGAGCAGTTTGGAAACACTCTTTTTGCATAATCTGCAAATGGATAATTGGAATGTTTTGAGGCCTATGGTGAAAAAGGAAATATCTTCACATAAAAACTAAACAGAAGTTTTCTGGGAAACTACTTTGTAATGTGTGCATTTATCTCACAGCGTTGAAAACTTCTTTTGATTGAGCAGTTTGTAAACAGTCTTTTTGTAGAATCTGCAAATGGATATTTGGAGTGCTTTGAGTTCTATAGTGAAAAAGGAAATATCTTCAAAAAAACTAGAAAGAAACATTCTGAGAAACTTCTTTGTGATATGTGCTTTCATCTCACAGAGTTGAACCTTTCTTTTCATTGAGCAGCTTGGAAACAGACTTTTTATAGAATCTGGAAATGCATATTTGGAGAGCTTAGAGGTCTATTGTGAAAAAGGAAATATCTTCAGATAAACACTAAACAGAAGCTTTCTGAGAAACTTCTTTGTGATGCCTGCATTCATATCACAGAGCTGAAACTTTCTTTTGATTTAGCAGTTTGGAAACAGTCTTTTTGTAGAATCTGCAAAAAATATTTTTGAGCCCTTTATGGCCCATGGTGAAGCAGGAAATATCCTCACAGAAAAACTAGACAGAAGCTGTCTGAGAAACTTCTTTGTGATGTGTGCTTCCAACACACGCAGTTGTACCTTTCTTTTGATTGAGCAGTTTGGAAACAGTCTTTTTCCAGAATCAGCAAATGGATGTTTGGAGCGCTTTGAGGCCTATGGTGAAAAAGGAAATACATTCACGTAAAAAATAGACAGAAGGATTATGAGAAACATCTATGTGATGTGTGCATTCATCTCATAGAGTTGAACTTTTCTTTGAGCAGTTTGGAAAGAGTCCTTTTGTAGAATCTGCAAAGGGATATTTCTGAGCCCATTGAAGCCTAGGGTGAAAAAGAAATGTCTTCACATAAAAAGTAGATAGAAGCATTCTGATAAACTTTTTTGTGGTGTGTCCATTCATCTCACAGTGTTGAAATTTTCTTTGGATTGAGCAGTTTGGAAACAGTCTTTTTGTAGAATTTGCAAAAAAAATTTGTGAGCCCTATATGGCCCATGGTGAAATAGGAAATATCTTCACATAAAAAAATAGACAGAAGCTTTCTGAGAGACTTCTTTGTGATGTTTGCTTCCGTGACACAGGTTTGAACCTTTCTTTTGATTGAGCAGTTTGGAAACACTCTTTTTGTAGAATCTACAAATGGGTATTTGGAACACTTTGAGGCCTATGGTGAAAAAAGAAATATCTTCACATAAAAACTAGACAGATGCATTCTGCAAAACTTCTTTGTGATGTGTGCATTCATCTCACAGAGTTGAATCTTTCTTTGGATTCAGCAGTTTTCTAAACAGTCCTTTTGTGGAATCTGCAAAGGGATATTTCTGAGCCCACTGAGTCCTATGGTGAAAAAGGAAATATCTTCACATAAAAACCAGGCAGAAGCATTCTGAGAAACCTCTTTCTGATGTGTGCATTCATCTCAGAGAGTTGAACCTTTCTTTTGCTTGAACAGTTTGGAAACAGTCATTTTTTTGAATATGCAAACGGATATTTGTGAGCCCTTTATAGCCTATGGTGAAATAGGAAATATCTTCACACAAAAACCAGACAGAAGCATTCTGAGAAACATCTTTGTGATGTGTGTATTCATCTCACAGAGTTGAACATTTCTTTGGATGCAGCAGTTTGGAAACAGTCTTTTTGTAGTATCTGCAGAGGGATATTCATGAGCAGTTTAAGGCCTATGGTTAAAAAGGATATATCTTCACAGATAACCTCGACAGATCCATTGTGAGAAACTTCTTTGAGATGTGTGCATTCATCTCACAGAGTTGAACCTTTCTTTGGATTGAGCAGTTTTCTAAACAGACCTTTTGTAGAATCTACAAAGTGATACTTCTGAGCCCATTGAGGCCTATGGTGAAAAAGGAAATATCTTCACATGAAACCTTAACAGAAGTATTCTGAGAAACTTCTTTGTGATGTGTGCATTCATCTCACAATGTTGAAACTTTCTTTTGATTGAGCAGTTTGGAAACAGTCTTTTTGTACAATCTGCAAAGGGATATTTCCAAGCCATTTGAGGCCTACCATGAAAGAGAAATATCTTCATATAAAAACTAGCAAAAGCATTCTGAGAAACTTCTTTGTAATGTGTGCATTCATCACACAGAGTTGAAACATTCTTTTGATTGAGCAGTTTGGGGACAGTCTTTTTGTATAATATGCAAAAGGATATTTGTGAGCCCTTTCAGGCCTAGGGTGAAATAGGGAATATCTTCACAAAAAAACTAGACAGAAGCTTTCTGAGAAACTTCTTTGTGATGTGTGATTTCATCTCACAGAGTTGAACCTTTCTTTTGATTGAGCAGTTTGCAAACATTCTTTTTGTAGAATCTGAAGATGGATATTTGCAGCGTTTCAGGCCTATGGTGAACAGGAAATTTCTTCACATAAAAACTAGACAGAAGCATTCTGAGAAACTTCTTTGTGATGTGTGCATTCATGTCACAGAGTTGAAACTTCCCATGGATTGAGCAGTTTGGAAAGAGTTCTTTTGTAGAATCTGCAAAGGGATGTTTGTGAGCCCATTGGGGCCTATGGTGAAATAGGAAATGTCTTCACATAAAAACTAGACAGAAGCTTTCTGTAAAACTTCTTTGTGTTGTGTGCTTTCACCACACAGAGTTGAACCTCTCTTTTGATTGAGCAGTTTGGAAACACTCTTTTTGTAGAACTTGCAAATGGATATTTGGAGTGCTTTGAGGCCTATAGTGAAAAAGAAAATATCTGCATTTAAAAAGTAGACAGAAACTTTCTGAGAAACTTTTTTGTGATGTGTGCTTTCATCTCACAGATTTGGACCTTGCTTTTCATAGAGCAGTTTGGCAACAAGTCGTTTTGTAGAATCTGCAAAGGGATATTTGTGAGTGGTTTGAGGCCTATGGTGAAAAAGTAAATATCTTCACCTAAAACCTAGACAGAAGCATTTTGAGAAAACTCTTTGTGATGTTTGCATTCATCTCACTGAGTTGAACCTTTCTGTTCATTGAGCAGTGTGGAAACATACTTTTTTTGCAATCTGCAAAGGAATATTTTTTGGGGTATGAGACCTATGGTGAAAAGGTAATATCTTCACATGAAAACTAGACAGAAGCATTCTGAGAAACTAACTTTTTATGTGTGCATTGATCTCACAGAGTTGAACCTTTCTTTTGATGAAGCAGTTAGGAAACAGTTTTTTGTAGAATCTGAATAGGGATATTTGCCATCCCTTTGAGGCCTAAGGTGGAATAGGAAATATCTTCACATAAAAACTAGACAGAAACTTTCTGAGAAACGTCTTTGTGAAGTGGGCTTTCATCTCACAGATTTGAACCTTTATTTTGATTGAGCAGTTTGGAAAGAGTCTTTTGTAGTATCTGCAGAGGGCTATTAGTGAGCGGACTGAGGCTTATAGTGAAAAAAAAGTGGCTTCTCAAAAAAACAATACAGAAGCATTCTGAGAGACTTCTTTGTAATATGCACATTTATCTTACAGTGTTAAACCTTTCTTTTGATTGAGCTTTTTGGAAACACTCTTTTTGTAGCATCTGCAAGAGTATACTTCTGAGCCCATTGAGACCTATTTTGAAATATGAAATATCTTCACATAAAAACTAGATAGAAGGTTTCTAAGAAACACCTTTATGAAGTGTGCTTTCATCTCACAGAGTTGAACCTTTCTTTTCATTGAGCAGTTTGAAAACACTCTTTGTGTAGAATCTGCAAGTGGATATTTGGAGTGCTTTGAGGCCCATGGTGAAAAAGGAAATATCTTCACATAATAACCAGACAGAAGCATTCTGAGAAACTTCTTTGTGATGTGTGCATTCATCTCACAATCTTGAACGTTTCTTTTGATTGAGCAGCTTGGAAACAGAACTTTTGTAGAATCTGCAAAGTGATATTTGTGAGCCCATTGATTCCTATGGCAAAATAGGAATTATCTTGAGATAAAAGCTAGACAGAAGATTTCTGAGAAACTTCTTTGTGATGTGTGCATTCATCTCACCGTGTTGAAACTTTATTTTGTTTGAGCAGTTTAGAAACAGTCTTTTTCTGCATTCTGCAAAGGTATATTTCTGAGCCATTTGAGGTCTATGGTGAAAAAGAAATATCTTCACATTTAAACTAGACAGAAGCATTCTGAGTAACTTCTTTGTGATGTCTCCATTCATCTGACAGAGTTGAAGGTTTCTTTTAATTCAGCACTTTGGAAACCATATTTTTGTAGAACCTGCAAAGGGATATTTTTGAGACATTTGAAGCCTATAGTGAAATAGTAAATATCTTCACATAAAAACTAGACAGGAGAATTCTGAGAAACTTCATTCTGATGTGTGCATTCACCTCACAGAATTTAAGCTTTCTTTTGATTGAGCAGTATGGAAATGGTCATCTTTTAGAATCTGGAAAGGGATATTTCTTAGCCCTTTGAGGCCTATGGTGAAACTGGAAATATCTTCACATGGAAACTAGACCGAAGTTTTCTGAGAAAGTTCTTTGAGATGTGTGCTTTCATCTCACAGAGTTAAAACTTTCTTTTGATTGAGCAGTTTGGAAACACTCTTTTTGTGATATCTGTGAATGGATATTAGGAGTGTTTTGAGGGCAATGGTGACAAAGGAAATATCCTCACATAAAAACTAAACAGAAGTTTTCTGAGAAATTAATTTTTGATGTGTCCATTAATCTAACAGAGTTGAAACTTTCTTTTTATTTAGCAGTTTGGATGCAGTATTTTTGTAGAATCTGTAAAAAATATTTGTGAGCCCTTTATTGCCTATGGTGAAATAGGAATTTTCTTCACATGTAAACTAGACAGAAGCATTCTGAGAAACTTCTTTGTGATGTATGCATTCATCTCACATAGTTGAAACTTTCTTTGGATTGAGCAGTTTGGAAACAGTCCTTTTGTAGAATCTGCAAAGGGATATTTCTGAGCACGTTGAGCACTATGGTGCAATGTGAAATATCTTCACACAAAAACTAGACAGAAGCTTTCTAAGAAACTTTTTGTGATGTGTGCTTTCGTCTCACAGAATTGAAACTTTCTTTTGATTGAGGAGTTTGGAAACACTCTTTTTCTAGAATCTGCAAATGGATATTTTGAGCGCTATTGAGGGCCATGGTGAAAAACAAAATTTCTTCACATAAAAAGTAAACAGAAGCTTTCTGAGAAACTTCCTTGTGATGTGTGCATTCATCTCACAGAGTTGAACGTATCTTATGATTGAGCAGGTTGGAAAGAGGCTTATTGTACAATCTGCAAAGGGATAATTCTGATCCATTTGAGGCCTATGGTGAAAGAGAAATATCTTCACATAAAAACTAGACAGAATCATTCCAAGAAATTTCTTTGCGATGTGTCCATTCATCTCACAGAGTTGAAAGTTTCTTTTGATTGAGCAGTTTGGAAACAGTCTTTTTGTAGAAACTTCAAAGGGAAATTTGGGAGCCCTTTATGGCCTCAGGTAAAATAGGAATTATCTTCACATACAAACTAGAGAGAAGCTGTCTGAATAACTTTTTTGTGATGTGTGTTTTCATCTCAGAGAGGTAAAAATTTGTTTTGATTGATCAGTTTGGAAACAGTCTTTTTGTAGAATCTGCAAATGGATGTTTGGATTGCTTTGAGGCCTATGTTGAGAAAGGTAATATGTTCACTAAAAACAAGACAGAAGACTGGATTAAGAAAATGTGGCACATATATACCATGGAATACTATGCAGCCATAAAAAATGATGAGTTCATGCCCTTTGTAGGGACATGGATGAAATTGGAAATCATCATTCTCAGTAAACTATCGCAAGAACCAAAAACCAAACACAGCATATTCTCTCTCATAAGTGGGAATTGAACAATGAGAGCAACACATGGACACAGGAAGGAGAACATCACACTCTGGGGACAGTTATGGGGTGGGGGGAGGGGGGAGGGATAGCATTGGGAGATATACCTAATGCTACATGACGAGTTAGTGGGTGCAGCACACCAGCATGGCACATGTATACATATGTAACTAACCTTCACATTGTGCACATGTACCATAAACTTACACTATAATAATAATAAATAAAAAAAACTTACTTTAAAAAAAATAAAATAAAGTGTTGAAAATAAAAAAAAAAGATTTCTGAGAAACTCCTCTGTTATGTGTGCATTCATCTAACCAGTTTGAACCTTTCTTTTGATTGAGCAATTTGGAAACAGTCTTTTTGTACAATCTACAAAGGGATATTTCTGAACGGTTTGATGCCTATGGTGAAAAAGAAATATCTTCACATAAAAACTAGACAGAAGCATTATGATAAACTAATTTATTATGTGTGCATTCATCTCACAGAGTTGAATCTTTCTTTTCATTTAGCAGTTCTAAAACTGTCTTTTTGTATAATCTGCAAAAGGATATTTGAGAGACCTTTGAGGCCTATGGTCATATAAGAAATATCTTCACAAAAAAAGGAGACAGAAGCATTATGAGAAACTTCTTCTTGATGTGTACTTTCTTCTCACAGATTTGAATCTTTCTTTTAATTGAACAGTTTGGAAACTCTCTTTTTGTAGGGTTTGCAAAAGGATATTTGGAGTGCTTTGAGGCCTATGGTGAAAAAGGAAATATTTTCACTTAAAAACTAAACAGAAGCTTTCTGAAAATCTTCTCTGTGATATGAGTATTATTCTCACAGTGTTGAACCTTTGTTTTCATTGAGCAGTTTGGAAACCATCTTTTTGTACAATCTGCAAAGGGATATTTCTGAGCAGTTAGAGGCCTACGGTGAAAAACAAATATCTTAACCTAAAAACTAGACAGAGGCATTCTGAGAAACTTCTTATTCATGTGTGCATTCATCTCCCAGAATTGAACCTTTCTTTCCATTGAGAAATTCGGAAACAATCTTTTTGTAGAATTTGCAAAAGGATATATGTGAGCCCACTGAGGCCCATGGTGAAATGGGAAATATCTTCACAGAAAAACTGGACAGAAGCATTCTGAGAAACTTCTTTGTGACCTTTGCATTCATCTCACAGAGTTGAAACTTTCTTTTGATTGAGTAGTTTGGAAAAACTCTTTTTGAAGTATCTGCAAATGGATATTTGGAGCACTTTGTGGCTTGTGGTGAAAAACTAAATATCTTCACATAAAATCTAGTGAGAAACTTTCTGAAGAACTTCTTTGTGATGTGTGTTTTCATCTCACAGAGTTGAAAATTTCTTTTGATTAAGCAGTTTGGAAGCAGTCTTTTGTAGAATCTGCAAATCAATATTTGGATTGCTTTGAGGCCTATCGTTAGAACGGAAATATCTTCACATAAAAACTAGACAATTTCTGAGAAACTTCTTTGTGATGTGTGTTTTCATCTCACAGAGTTGAACTGTTCTTTTGATTGAGCAGTTAGGGAACAGTCTTTATCTACAATCTGCAAAGGGATATTTCTGAGGGGTTTGAGTCCTATGGTGAAAAAAAAATATCCTCACTTAAAAACTAGACAGAAGCATTCTGAGAAACTTCTTTGTGATGTGTGCTTTCATCTCACAGGTTTGAACCCTTCTTTTGATTGAGCAGTTTGGAAGCTGTCTTTTTGTACAATCTACAAAGGGATACTTCTGAATGGTTTGATGCCTATGGTGAAAAAGAAATATCTTCACAAAAAAACTAGACAGAAGCATTCTGAGAAACTTCTTTTTTATGTGTGCATTCGTCTCACAGAGTTGAACCTTTCTTTGTGTGGAGCAGTTCGAAAACAGTCTTTTTGTAGAGTCTGCAAATGGATATTTGTGAGCTCTTTGAGGCCTATGGTGAAATATGAAATATCTTCACATAAAAACCAGACAGAAGCATTATGAGGAACTCGTTTCTGATGTGTGGTTTCATCTCACAGAGATGAAGGTTTCCTTTGATTGAACAGTTTTCAAGCAGCCTTTTTGTAGTATCTGCAGAGGGATATTTGGGAGCCATTTAAGGACTATGGTGAAAAAGGAAATATCTTCACATAATACCTAGACAGAGGCATTCTGAGAAACTTCTTTATGATATGCGCATTCATCTCACAGAATTGAACCTGTCTTTTCATTGAGCAATTTGGAAACAGTCTTTTTGTACAATCTGCAAAGGGATATTTCTTAGCCGTTTGAGGCCTATGGTGAAAAAGTCATATCTTCACATAAAAACTAGGCAGAAGCCTTCTGAGAAACTTCTTTGTGATGTGTCCATTCATCTCACAGAGTTCAAACTTTGTTTTGATTGAGCTGTTTGGAAACAGGCTTTTTGTAGAGTCTGCAAAGGGATATTTTTGAGACATTTATGGCCTATGGTGAAATAGGAAATATCTTCACATAAAGACTAGAAAAACATTCTGAGAAACTTATTTGTGATGTGTGCCTTCATCTCACAGAGTTGAAACTTTCTTCTGATTGAGCAGTTTGGAAAGAGGCCTTTTGTAGTATCTGAAAAGAGATATTTTTGAGCCCATTGAGGCCTACGCAGAAAGAGGAAATATCTTCACATATAAGCTAGACAAAAATTTTCTGAGAAAATTCTTTGTGATGTGTGCTTTCATTTCACAGAGTAGAATCTTTCTTTTCATTGAGCAGTTTGGAAACAGTTTTTTTGTAACATCTGCATAGGGATATTTCTGAGCGGTTTGAGGTCTATGGTGACAAAGAAATATCTTCACATAAAAACTAGACAGAAGCATTCTGAGAAACTTCTTTTTTAGGTGTGAATTCATCTCTCAGAGTTGAAACTTACTTTTCATTGAGCAGTTCTGTAACAGTCTTTTTGTAGAATCTGCAAAAGGATATTTGTGAGCCCTTTGAGGCCCATGGTGTAAAAGGAAATACCTTCACTTAAAAACAAGACAGAAGCATTCTGAGTAACTTCTTTGTGATTTGTGCTTTCATCTCACAGATTTGAACCTTTCTTTTGATTGAGCAGTTTGGAAAAACTCTTTTTGTACAATCTGCAAAATATATTTGGTGCACT
>NT_187433.1:120361-123709 GCF_000001405.40 Homo sapiens | reverse complement strand
TGTGATGTTCCCCTTGCTGTGTCCATGTGTTCTCGTTGTTCAAATCTCACCTATGAATGAGAACATGTGGTGTTTGGTTTTTTGTCCTTGTGATAGTTTACTGAGAATGATGATTTCCAATTTCATCCATGTCCCTACAAAGGATATGAACTCATCATTTTTTATGGCTCCATAGTATTACATAGTGTATATGTGTCACATTTTCTTAATCCAGTCTATCATTGTTGGACATTTGGGTTGGTTCCAAGTCTTTGCTATTGTGAATAGTGCCACAATAAACATACACATGCATGTGTCTTTATAGCAGCATGAAACCAATGAGAACAGAGACACAACATACCAGAATCTCTGGGACACATTCAAAGCAGTGTTTAGAGAGAAATTTATAGCACTAAATGCCCACAGGAGAAAGCAAGAAAGATCCAAAATTGACACCCTAACATCACAATTAAAAGAACTAGAAAAGCAAGAGCAAACACATTCAAAAGCTAGCAGAAGGCAGGAAATAACTAAAATCAGGTCAGAACTGAAAGAAATAGAGACACAAAAAACCCTTCAAAAAATTAATGAATCCAGGAGCTGGTTTTTTGAAAGGATCAACAAAATTGATAGACCGCTAGCAAGACTAACAAAGAAGAAAAAAGAGAAGAATCAAATGCAATAAAAAATGATAAGGGGCATATCACCACCGATCTCACAGAAATTCAAACTACCATCAGAGAATACTACAAACACCTCTATGCAAATAAACTAGAAAATCTAGAAGAAATGGATAAATTCTTCGACATATACACCCTCTCAAGACTAAACCAGGAAGAAGTTGAATCTCTGAATAGACCAATAACAGGCTCTGAAATTGTGGGAATAATCCATAGCTTACCAACCAAAAAGAGTCCAGGACCAGATGGATTCACAGCCGAATTCTACCAGAGGTACAAGGAGGAACTGGTACCATTCCTTCTGAAACTATTCCAATCAATAGAAAAAGAGGGAATCCTCCCTAACTCATTTTATGAAGCCAGCATGATCATGATACAAAAGCTGGGCAGAGACACAATAAAAAAAGAGAATTTTAGACCAATATCCTTGATGAACATTGATGCAAAAATCCTCAATAAAATACTGGCAAACCGAATCCAGCAGCACATCAAAAAGCTTATCCACCATGAACAAGTGGGCTTCATCCCTGGGATGCAAGGCTGGTTCAATATATGCAAATCAAAAAATGTAATCCAGCATATAAACAGAACCAAAGACAAAAACCACATGATTATCTCAATAGATGCAGAAAAGGCCTTTACAAAATTCAACAACCCTTCATGCTAAAAGCTCTCAATAAATTAGGTATTGATGGGACGTATCTCAAAATAATAAGAGCTATCTGTGAAACTTCTTTGTGATGTGTGCATTCATCTCACAGAGTTGAACCTTTCTTTTGATTGGGCAGTTTGGAAACAGTCTTTTTGTAGAACCTGTAAAGTGATATTTGTGAATGCTTTGAGGCTTATGGTGAAAAAGGAAATATCTTCACATTAAAACTAGACTCATGTTTTCTGGGAAACTTCTTTGTGATGGGTGTATGCATCTCAAAGACTGGAATCTTTCTTTTGATTGAGCAGTTTGGAAACGGTCTTTTTGGAGAATCTGCAAAGGGATGTTTTTGAGTGGTTTGAGACATGTGATGAAAAAGGAAATATCTTCATATAAAAACTAGGCAGAAGCATTCTGAGAAACCACTTTGTGATGCATGCATTCATCTCACAGAGTTGAATTTTCTTTCATTGAGCAGATTGGAAACAGTCTTTTTGTAGAATAGGCAAAGTGATATTTGTGAGCTTTCTGAGGCCTGTTGTGAAAAAGGAAATATCCACAAATACAATCTAGACAGAAGCCTTCTGAAAAACTTCGTTGTGATGTGTGCATTCATCACACAGAATTGAACCTTTCTTTTGATTGAGCAGTTTGGAAACAGTCTTTTCATAGAATCTGAAAAGGAAAATTTGGGAACGCTTTCAGGCTTATGGTGAAAAAGAGTATCTTCACATAAAAACTAGACAAAAAGGTTCTGAGAAACTTCTTTGTGATGTGTGCATTCATCTCACAGAGTAGAAACTTTCTTTGAGCAGTTTGGAAACAGTCTTTTTGTAGAATCTGCAAAGGGTTATATATAGGCGGTTTCAGGTCTATGGTGAAAATAGAAATATCTTCACATAAAAACTAGACAGAAGCTTTCTGAGAAAATTCTTTGAGATGTGCACATTCATCTCACAGATTTGAAGTGTTCTTTTCCTTGACCAGTTTGGATAGAGTCTTTTTGTAGAATCTGCTTTGCGATATTTGTGAGCCCTTTGAAGCCTATGGTGAAAAAAGAAATATCTTCACACAAAAACTAGACAGAAGCTTTCTGAGAAACTTCGATGTGATGTGTGCATTCATTCCAAAAGTTGAACCTGTCTTTGGATTGAGCAGTTTGGAAACAGTCCTTTGTAGAATGTACAAAGGGATATTTGGGATCCCTTTTTGGTCTATGGTGAAAAAGGTAATGTCTTCAGATAAAAACTAGACAGAAACATTCTGAGAAACTTATTTTTGATATGTGCATTCTTCTCACAGAGTTAAACCTTTCTTTAGATAGAGCAGGTTAGAAAATGTCTTTTTGTAGAATCTGCAAAGTGATGATTTGAATGCTTTGAGACTTATGTTGAAAAAGGAAATATCTTCACAGAAAAACTGGACGGAAACTTTCTGAGAAACTTCTTTGTGATGTGTGCATTCATCTCAAAGAGTTGAAGCTTTGTTTCAGTTGAGCAGTTTGGTAACAGTCTTTTTGTAAAATCTGTAAAGGGACATTTGTGAGCACTTTGAGGCCTATATTGAAAAAGGAAACAACTTCAAATAAAAACTAGACAGAAGCTTTCTGAGAAACTTCTTTGTGATGTGTGCATTCACCTCACAGAGTTGAAGCTTTCTTTTGATTGAGTAGTTTGGAAACAGTCTTTTTGTAGAATCTGCAAAGGGTTATTTATGAGCGGTTTGAGGTCTATGGTGAAAAAGGGAGTACCAACAAATAAAAACTAGACAGAAACTTTCTGAGAAACTTCTCTGTGATGTGTGCATTCATCTCACAGAGTGGAAGCTTTCTTTGATTGAGTAGTTTGGAAACACTCTTTTTGTAGAATCTGCAAAGGGATATATGTAGGCGGTTTGAGGTCTATGGCGAAAACGGAAATATCTTCACATAAAAACTAACTGCTCAATGGGAAGAAATTTTTACTTCTGTGTGATAAATGCACATGTCACAAAGGAGTTACTCAGAAAACTTCTTTCTACTTTTAATGTGAAGATATT
>NT_187433.1:97372-120213 GCF_000001405.40 Homo sapiens | reverse complement strand
ATGCACTCCCAAATATACCTTTGCAGAGTCTACAAAAAGACTGTTTCCAAACTGCTCAATCAAAAGAAAGTTTCAACACTGTTAGATGACTGCACACATCAGAAAGTAGTTTCTCAGCAAACTTCTCACTAGTTTTTATGTGAAGATACTTCCTTTTTCAACGTGGGTCTCAAAGCACTCAAAAATATCCCTTTGCAGACTCTAGAATAACAGAGTTTACAAACTGCTCAATGAAAAGAAATGTTTACCTCTGTGAGATGAGTACACATATCTTAAAGCAGCTTCTCAGAATGCTTCTTTCTAGTTTTTATGTGAAGATATTTCCTTTTCCACCATAGGCCTCAACTTGCTCCTAAATATCCCTTTGCAGATTCTACAAAAAGACTGTTTCCAAACTGCTCAATCAAAACAAATGTTAAACTCTATGAGATAAATGCACACATCACAAAAAGTTTCTCAGAAAACTTTTGTCTAGTTTTTATGTGAAGATATTTCCTTATTCACCATAGGCCTCAAAGCACTACAAATATCCCACTGCAGATTCTACAAAAGGACTGCTTGCAAACTGCTTAATCCAAAGAATGTTTCAACTCTGTGTGATGAATGCACACATCCAAAGAAGTTTCTCAGAAACTTTCTTTATGGTTTTTCTGTGAAGATATTTCCTTTTTCAACATAGGCCTCAAAGCCCTCACAAATATCCCTTTGCAGATTCTACAAAAAGACTGTTTCCAAACTGCTCAATAAAAAGAATTATTGAACACTGTCAGATGAATGCACACAGCTCAAAGAAGTTTCTCAGAATCCTTCAGTCTAGTTTTTATGTGAATATATTTCCTTTTTCACGATAGGCCTCAAAGTGTTCCAAATATCCATTTGCAGAGTCTACAAAAAGACTGTTTCCAAATGGCTCAATCAAAACAAAGATTCAACTCTGTGTGATGAATGCACACATCACGAAGCAGTTTCTCAGAATGCTTCTGTCTAGTTTTTCCCCATAGGTCTCAAAGTGCTCACCCATATCTCTTTACAGATACTACAAAAATACTTCTTCCAAATTGCTCAATCAAAAGAAAGGTTCAACTCTGTGAGATGTATGCACACCACAAAGAGATTTCTCAGAAAGCTTCTCTCTAGTTTTTATGTGAAGATATTTCCTTTTTCACCATAGGCCTCAAAGCATTCACAAATATCCCTTTGCAGATTCTACAAAAAGACTCTTTACACATTGCTCAATCAAAAGAATGTTTCAAATCTGTGAGGTGAATGCTCACATCACCAGGATGTTTCTCAGAAAGCTTCTGTGTAGTTTTCATGTGAAGATATTTCCTTTTTCACCATACATCTCAAAGGGCTCACAAATATCCCTTTGCAGATCTTACAAGAAAAGAGTTTCCAATCTTCTCAATGAAAAGAAACAGACACATCTGGGAGATGAATGCACATATCACAAAGCAGTTTCTGAGAAACATTCTGTCTAGTTTTTATGTGAAGGTATCTCCTTTTCCACCACAGGATGCAAAGTGCTCAAAATTGTCCCTTTGCAGATTCTACAAAAAGATTGTTTCCACACTGCTCATGCAAAGAAAGATTCAACTCTGTGAGATGAATGCACACGTCAAAAAGTGGTTTCTCAGAAAGCTTCTGTTAAGTTTTTATGTGAATGTTTCCTTTTTCCCCATGAGCCTCAAGGTGCTCACAACTATCCACATGAAGAATATTTAAAAAGACTGTTTCCAATCTGCTCAATCAAAAGAAAGGTTGAACTGTGTGAGATGAATGCACACATCACAAAGAAGTTTCTCAGAAACCTTCTTTATAGCTTTCCTGTGAAGATATTTCCTTTTTCACCATAGGTCTCAAAGCCCTCACAAATATCTCTTTGCAGATTCTACAAAAAGCTTGTTCCAAACCGCTCAATAAAAGGAATTATTGAACTTTGTGAGATGAATGCACACATCTCAAATAAGTTTCTCAGAAAGTTTCAGTCTGGTTTTTATGTGAATATATTTCATTTTTCACCATAGGCTTCAAAGTGCTCCAAATATCCATTTGCAGAGTCCACAAAAAGACTGTTTCCAAACGGCTCAATTAATAGAAAGTTTCAACTCTGTGAGATGAATGCACACATCACTAAGAAGTTTTGCAGGAGGCTTCTGTCTAATTTTTATATGAAGACATTTCCTTTTTCACCGTAGACCTCCATCTGCTCACAAATATCCCTTAGTAGATTCTACAAGAACAGAATTTCCAGACTGATCAAAGAAAACAAACTTTTTTCTCTGTGAGATGAATGCACACATCACAAAACTGTTTCTCAGAAACCTTCTTTATACTTTTTATATGATGATATTTCTTTTTTCTCCCTAGGACTCAAAGTGCTCAAAAATATCCCTTTGCAGATTCTACAAAAAGATTATTTCCAAAGTGCTCAATCAAAAGAATAGTTCAACTCCATGAGATGAATGCATACATCACAAAGAAGTTTCTCAGAAACCTTCTTTATAGTTTTTATGTGAAGATATTTCCTTTTCCACCACAGGCCTCAAAGTGCTCAGCAATATCCCTTTGTAGATTCTGCAAAAAGACTACTTCCCAACTGCTCAATCAAATAAATGTTTGAACTATGTGAGATGGATGCACACATCACAAGATGGTTTCTCAGAAATCTTCTGTCCATTTTTTATGTGAAGATATTTCCTTTTTCACCATAGCACTCCATGTCACGACAAATATCCCTTGCAGATTCTACAAAAGACTGTTTCCAGACTGCTCAATCAAAAGAATGGTTCAACTCTGTGAGATGATTGCACACATGACAAAGAAGCCACTAGGAAAGCTTCTGTCTAGTTTTTATGTGAAGATATTTCCTTTTTCACCATAGGCCTCAAAGCATTCACAAATATCCCTTTGCAGATTGTACAAAATAGTTTCCCGACTGATCATAGAAAATAAACGTTTACCACTCTGAGATCAATGCACACGCCACAAAGCTGTTTCTAAGAAACCTTCTTTATACCTTTTATATGAATATATTTCCTTTTTCACCATTGGGCTCAAAGCTCTCATAAATATCCCTTTGCAGATTCCACAAACAGATGGTTTCCATACTACTCAATCAAAAGTAAGTTTCAACTTTGTGAGATGAATGCCCACATCACAAAGAAGTTTCTCAGAAAGCCTCTCTCTAATTTTTATGTGAAGATATTTCCTTTTTCACCCTAGACCTCAACGCACTCACAAATATCCCTTTGCAGAATCTACAAGAACAGTTTCCAGACAGATCAGGGAAAAGAAAAGTTTACTTCTGTGAGATGAATGCATACATCATAAAGCTGTTTCTGAGAAACCTTGTTTATACTTTTTATGTGAATACATTTCCTTTTCCACCATAGGCCTCAAAGCACTCACAAATATCCCTTTGCAGATTCTACAAGAAGACTGTTTCCAAACTGTTCAATCAAAAGAATGGTTGAACTCTACGAGATGAATGCACACATCACAAAGAAGTTTCTCCGAAAACTTCTGTCTAGTTTTTATGTGAAGATGTTTCCTATTTCATCATAGGCCTCATAGCTCTCAAAAATATGCCCTTACAGATTCTACAAAAATACTGTTTCCAAATTTCTCAATCCAAAGAAAGTTTCAAATCTGTGAGATGAATGCACACATCACAAGGAGGTTTCTCAGAAAGCTTCTCTCTAGTTTTCATGTGAAAATATTTCGTTTTCACCATAGGCTTCAAAGCATCACAAATATCCATTTGCAGATTCTACCACATGGTTTCCCAACTGCTCAATCAAAAGAATTGTTGAACTCTGTGAGATGAATGCATACATCACAAAGTAGTTTCTCAGAAATCTTTAATCTAGTTTTTATGTGAAGATACTTTCTCTTTCACCATAGGCCTCAAAGTGTTCAGAAATATCCCTTTACAGATTCCACAAAAAGACGTTTCCAAACTGCTTAATCAAAAGAAAGTTTCAATTCTGTGAGATGCATGCACACATAACCAAGAAGTTTCTCAGTAGGCGATACTTTATCTTTCACCATAGGCCTCAAAGTGATCAGAAATATCCCTTTACAGATTCCACAAAAAGACATTTCTAAACTGCTCAATCAAAAGAAAGTTACAATTCTGTGAGATGAATGCACACATCACCAAGAAGTTTCTCAGTAGGCTTCTGTCTAGTTTTTATGTGAAGACAATATCTTTTTCACCATAGGTCCCTAGGCACTCAAAAATGTCCCTTAGCAGATCCTACAAGAACAGAGTTTCCCAACTGATCAAAGAAAAGAATCATTTACCTCTGTGAGATGAATGCAGACATCAAAAAACAGTTTCTCAGAAACCTTCTTTATAGTTTTCTATGAAGATACTTCTTTTCCTGCATAAGCCCCAAAGTGCTCACAAATATCCGTTTGCAGATTCTTCAAAAAGACTGTTTCCAAATGGCTGAATTAAAAGAGATGTTGAAATCTGTGAGATGAATGCACATATCACAAAGAAGTATCTCAGAAACTTTCTTTATACTTTGAATGTGAAGATATTTCCTTTGTCACAATAGGCCTCATAGTGCGCAAAAATACCCCCTTTGAGATTGTACAAGAACAGAGTTTTCCAGACTGATTGGAGAAAAGAAACACTTACCTCTGTGAGATGAATGCACACATCACAAGGTTGATTTTAGAAAACCTGCTTTATAGTTCTTATGTGAAGATATGTCCTTTTCCACCATAGGATTCAAAGCGCTCCAAATATCCAATGGCAGACTCTACAAAAAGAGTGTTTCCAAACTGCTCAACAAAAAGAAAGTTCAACTCTATGAGATAAATGCACACAGCACAAAGAAGTTTCTCAGAATGCTTCTGTCTATTTTTCATGTGCAGATATTTCCTTTTCCACCATAGGCGTCAAAGCACTCTAAATATCCACTTGCAGATTCTCCAAAAAGAGTGTTTCAAAACTGCTCAATAAAAAGAAAGTCTCAACTTTGCGAGCTGAAAGCACAAATCACAAAGAAGTTCCTCAAAATGATTCCCTGTAGTTTTTATGTGAAGATATTTCCTTTTCCACAAGAGGCCGAAAAGCGCTCCAAATATCCAATTGCAGATTCTACAAAAAGTCTGTTTCAAAACTGCTTAATCAGAATAAAGGTTGAACTCTGAGTTGAATACACACATCACAAAGAAGTTTCTCAGAATGCTTCTGGCTAGTTTTTATTGGAAGATATATTCTTTTCCACCATATGCCTCAAAGAGATCAAAATATCCACTTGCAGATTCTAAAAAGAGAGTGTTTCAAAACTGCTCAATCAAAAGAATGGTTGAACTCTGTGAGATGAATGCACACATCACAAAGAAGTTTCTCCGAATGGTTCTGTCTAGTTCTTATGTGCAGATATTTCCTTTTCCACTATAGGCCTCAAAGCTCTCCAAATACAAATTTGAAGATGGTATGAAAAGAATGTATCCAAACTGCTCAATAAAAAGACACGTTCAACTCGGTGAGTTGAATGCACACATCACAAAAAAGTTTCTCAGAATGCTTCTTTCTAGTTTTTATGTGAAGATATTTCCTTTTCCACCATAGGCCTCAAAGCGCTCTAAATATCCTACTGCTGATTCTACAAAAAGAGTGTTTCAAAACTTCTCAATCAAAAGAAATGTTCAACTCTGTGAGTTGAATGTGCACATCACAAAGAAGTATCTTAGAATGATTCTGTCTAGTTCTTATGTGAAGATATTTCCTTTTCTCTCATGGCCTCAAAGTGCTCCACATATCCACTTGCAGATTCTACAAAAAGAGTGTTGCAGAACTGCTCAATTAAAAGAAAGGTTCAACTCTGTGAGATGAATGCAGACTTCATGAAGAAGTTTCTCAGAATGCTTCTCTCTAGTTTTTATTGAAGATATTTACTTTTCCACCAGAGGCCATACAGCGCTCCAAATATCCACTTGCAGATTCTACAAAAAGAGTGTTTCAGAACTGCTCAATCAAAAGAAAGGTTCAACTCTGTGAGTTGAATGCACACAGCACAAAGAACTTTGTCAGAATGCTTCTCTGTAGTTTTATGTGAAGATATTTGCTTTACCACCATAAGCATCAAAGCGCTCCAAATATCCACTTGCACACTCTATAAAAAGAGTGTTTCAAAACTGCTCAATCAAAAGAAAGCTTCAGCTAAGTGGATGAATGCACGCATCACAAATAAGTTTCTCAGTATGCTTCTGTCTAGTCTTTATGTGAAGACATTTCCTTTTCCACAATAGGCCTCAAAGTGCTCCAAATATCCACTTGCAGATTCTACACAAAGAGTGTTTCAAAACTGTTCAGTCAAAAGAATGGATCAAGACAATGATATGAATGCACACACCACAAAGAAGTTTCTCAGAATGCTTCTCTCTAGTTTTTAGGTGAAGATATTTCCTTTTACACCATAGAACTCAAACCGCTCCAGGTATCCCTTTGCAGATACTACAAAAAGAGTGTTTCAAAACTGCTCAATCAAAAGAAAGATTCAACTGTGTGAGACGAATGCACATATCAAGAAGAAGTTTCTCAGAATGCTTCCGACAAATATTTATGTGAAGATATTTCCCTTTCCACTATAGACTGCAAAGTGCTCCAAATATCCACTTGCAGATTCTACAAAAAGAGTGTTTCAAAACTGCTCAATCAAAAGAAAGTTTCAACTCTGTGAGATGAATATACACATCACAAAGAAATTTCTCAGAATTTTTCTGTCTAATTTTTTCTGCGAAGATATTGCCTTTTCCACTTAAGGCCACATAGCGCTCCAAATATCCAATTGCAGGTTCTACAAAAGGAATCTTTCAAAACTGCTCTATCAAAAGAAGGGTTCCATTCTGTGAGTTGAATGCACACGTCACAAAGAAGTTTCTCAGAATGCTTCTGTCTACTATTTATGTAAAGATATTTATTTCCTTTTCCACTATAGGCCTCAAAGCACTCCAAATATCCACTGGCAGATTTTCAAAAAGAGTGTTTCAAAACTGCTCAATCAAAAGAAATGTTGAACACTGTGAGTTGAATGCACACATCACAAAGAAGTTTCTCAGAATGCTTCTCTGTAGTTTTTATGTGAAGATATTTGCTTTTCCAACATAGGACTCAAAGCGCTCCAATATCCATTTGCAGATTGTACAAAAAGAGAAATACAAAACTACTAAATCAAAAGAATGGTTCAACTCTGTGAGAAGAATGTGCACAAAACAAAGAAGTAGCGGAGAATGCTTCTCTTTAGTTTTTATGTGAAGATATTTCCTTTTCCACCATAGGCCACATATTGCTCCTAATATCCACTTGCAGATTCTACAAAAAGAGTATTTCAAAACTGCTCAATCAAAAGAATGGTTCAACTCTGTGAGATGAATGCACACATCACAAAGAAGTATCACAGAATGCTTCTGTCTAATTTTATTGTGAAAATATTTTATTTTCCACCATAGGCCTCAAAGCACTTCAATAATCCACTTGCAGACTGTACAAAAAGAGTGTTTCAAAACTGGTCAATAAAAAGAAAATTTCAACTCTGTGAGATGAATGCACATATCACAAAGATGTTTCTCAGAATGCTTCTGTCTAGTTTTTATGTGAAGATATTTCCTTTTCCCCTGTAGGCCACAAAGGCCTCCAAATATCCACTTGCAGATTGCACAAAAAGAGTGTTTGAAAACTTCACAATCAAAAGAAAGTTTCAACTCTGTGAGATGAATGCACACATCACAAGGAAGTTTCACAGAATGCTTCTGTCTAGTTTATGTGAAGATATTTCCTTTTCCAACAGAGGCTGCAACCACTTGCAGATTCTAAAAAAAGAAAGAGCGTTTCAAAACTGCTCAATCAAAAGAAAGGTTCAACTCTGTGAGTTGAACACACGCAACACAAAGAACTTTGTCAGAATGCTTCTCTGTAGTTCTTATGTGAAGATATTTCCTTTCCCACCATAAGCCTCAAAGTGCTCCAAATATCCACTTGCTCACTCTACAAAAAGAGTGGTTCAAAACTGCTCAATCAAAAGAAAGATTGAACTCTGTGAGATGAATGCACACATCACAAATAAGTTTCTCAGCATGCTTCTCCGTAGTTTTTATGTGAAGATATATCCTTTTCCGCAGTAGACCACAAAGCACTCCAAATATCCACTTGCAGATCCTAAAAAAAGTGTTTTTCAAAACTGCTCAATCAAAAGAAAGGTTCAACTCTGTGTGTTGAATGCACACATCACAAACCAATTTCTCAGAATGCTTCTGTCTAGTTTTCATGTGAAGATATTTCCTTTTCCACCATAGGCCCCAAAGCGCTCCAATATCCAATTGGAGATTCTACAAAAAGAGTGGATCAAAACTGCTCAATCAAAATAAAGCTTCAACTCTATGAGATGAATGCCCACATCACAAAGAAGTTTCTCAGAATGCTGTTGTCTAGTTTTTATGTGAAGATATTGCCTTTTCCACTTAGGGCCACATAGCACTCCAAATATCCACTTGCAGATTCTACAAAAGGAGTCTTTCAAAACTGCTCAATCAAAAGAAGGATTCCACTCTTTGAATTAATTGCACACGTCACAAAGAAGTTTCTCAGAATGCTTCTGTGTACTATTTATGTGAAGATATTTCCTTTTCCACTGTAGGCCTCAAAGCGCTCCAAAAATCCACTGGCAGATTTTACAAAAAGAGTGTTTCAAAACTGCTGAATGAAAAGAAAGGTTGAACTCTGTGGGTTGAATGCACACATAACAAAGAAGTTTCTCAGAATGCTTCTGTGTAATTTTTATGTGAAAATATAGCGTTTTCCGCCATAGGCCTCAATGTGCTCCAAATATCCACTTGCAGATTCTACAAAAAATGTGTTTCCAAACTGCTCAACCAAAAGAACGGTTCAACTCTGTGAGATGAAACCACATATTATAAAGAAGTTTCTCAAAAATTTTCTGTCTAGTTTTTATGTGAGAATATTTCCTATTTCATCCATAGGCATCAATGGGCTGAGAAATATCCCTTCACAGATTCTACAAAAGGACTGTTTCCAAACTGCTCAATCGAAAGAAATGTTCAACTCTTTGTGATGAATGTGCACATCACAAAGAAGTTTCTCAGAATGATTCTGTCTAGTTTTTATGTGAAGATATTTCGTTTTCCACTATAGACCACAAAGCGCTCCAAATATCCACTTGCAGATTCCCCATAAAGAGTGTTTCCAAACTGCTCAATCAAAGGAAAGTTACAACTCTGTGAGATGAAAGAATACATCATAAAGAAGTTTCTCAGAAAGCTTCTATCTAGTTTTTATGTGAAGATATTTTCTGTTTCACCATAGTCCAGAAGGTGCTCAAAAATAGCCCTTTGCAGATTCTACACAAAGACTGTTTCCAAACTTCTGAACCAAAAGAAAGGTTCAACTCTGTGAGATGAAAGCACATATCTCAAAGAAGTTTCTCAGAAAGCTTCTGTCTGGTTTTTATGAGAAGATATTTCCTATTTCACCGTAGGCCTCAATGGGCTGAGAAATATCCCTTTGCAGATTCTACAAAAGGACTGTTTCCAAACTGCTCAATCCAAAGAAAGTTTCACCTCTTTGAGTTGAATGCATACATCACAAAGAAGTTTCTCAGAATGCTTCTGCCTAGTTTTTATGGGAAGATATTTCCTTTTTCATCATAGGCCTTAAACTGTTCTCAGATATCCCACTGCAGATACTACAAAAAGACTGTCTCCAAACTGCTCTATCAAAAGTAAGGTTCAACTCTGTGAGATGAAAGGATACATCTCAAAGAAATTTCTCAGAATTCTTCTGTCTAGTTTTCATGTGAAGATATTTCTTTTTCGATATAGGCCTCCAACTTCTCAGAAATTTCCCATTCCAGATTGTACAAAAAGACTGTTTCCAAACTGCTCAATGAAAACAAACGTTCAACTCTGTGAGATGTATGCACGCATCAAAAAGAAGTTTCTCAGAAAGCTTCTGTTTATATTTCATGTGAAGATATTTCCTTTATCACCATAGGCCTCAAAGCGCTCCAAATATCCATTTGCAGATTCTACAAAAAGACTGTTTCCAAACTGCTCAATCAAAAGAAAGTTTCAAATCTGTGACATGAAAGCACACATCACTAAGAAGTTTATCAGAAAGCTTCTGTCTAGTTTTTATGTGAAGATATGTCCTTTTTCACCATAGGCATCAATGGGAACAGAAATATCCCTTTGCAGATCCTACAAAAAGACTGTTTCTAAACTGCTCAACCAAAAGAATGGTTCAACTCTGTGAGATGAAAGCACATATCACAAAGAAGTTTCTCAGAAATCCTCTGTCTAGTTTTTATGTGAAGATATTTCCTATTTCATCCATAGACCTCAATGGGCTCAGAAATATCCCTTCACAGATTCTACAAAACGACTGTTTCCAAACTGCTCAATCCAAAGACAGGTTCATCTCTTTGAGATGAATGCACATAATACAAAGAAGTTTCTTAGAATACTTCTACCTAGTTTTTATGTGAAGATATTTCCTTTTTCACCACAGGCCTTAAACTGCTCTCACATATCCCTCTTCAGATACTACAAAAAGACTGTTTCCAGACTGCTCCATCAAAAGAAAAGTTCAACTCTATGAGATGAATAGTTACGTCACAAAAAATTTTCTCAGAATACTTCTGTCTACATTTTATCTGAAGATATTTCTTTTTCACCATAGGCCTCCAACTTCGCAGAAATTTCCTTTGCAGACTGTACAAAAAGACTGTTTCCAAACTGCTCAATGAAAATAAAGTTTCACCTCTGTGAGATGTATGAACTCATCAAAAAGAAGTTTCTCAGAAAGCTTCTGTTTAGATTTCATGTGAAGATATGTCATTTTTCACCATAGGTGTCAAACCGCTCGAAATATCCTTTGCAGATTCTACAAAAAGACTGTTTCCAAACTGCTCAATCAAAAGAAAGGTTTAAACCTGTGAGATGAAAGCACACATCACTAAGAAGTTTCTCAGAATGTTTATGTCTAGTTTTTAAGTGAAGATATTTCTTCTTTCACCATAGGTCTCAATGGGCTCAGAAATATCCCTTTGCAGATCCTACAAAAGGACTGTTTCCAAACTGCTCAATCAAAACAAAGTTTCAACTGTGTCAGATGAATGCACACATCACAAAGAAGTTTCTCAGAATCTTCTGACTAGGTTTTATATGAAGATATTTCTTTTCTCACCAAAGTCCTCAAAATGCTCACAAATATCTCTCTGCAGATACTATCAAAGACTGTTTCCAAACTACTCAATCAAAAGAAAGGTTCAACTCTGTGAGATGAATGCACACATCACAAAGATGTTCCCAGAATGCTTCTGTCTGTTTGTTATGTGAAGATATTTCCTTTTTCACCACAGGCCTCAAAGCACTCCAAATATCCATTTGCAGATCCTACAAAAAGAGAGTTTCCAAATTGCTCAATCAAAAGAAAGTTTCATTTCTGTGAGATGAAAACACACATCCCAAAGAAGTTTCTCAGAAAGCTTCCATTTATTTTTTATGTGAAGATATTTCCTAATTCACAATAGGCCTAAATTGGCTAAGAAGTATCCCTTTGCAGATTGTACAAAAATACTGTTTCCAAACTGCTGAATCAAAAGAAAAGTTGAACTCTGTGAAATGAATGCACACATCGCAAAGAAGTTTCTCAGAAAGCTTCTGTTTAGTTTTTATGTGAAGACATCTCCTTTTTCATCATAGGTGTCAAAGTGAACAAAATACCCATTTGCAGGTTCTACAAAAGGAGTGTTTCAAAACTGCTCAATCAAGAGAAAGGTCCAACTCTGTGAGATGAATGCACACATCACAAAGACGTTTTGCAGAAAGTTTCTGTGTAGTTTTTATGTGAGGATATTTCCTTTTTCACCATAGGCCTTAAACCTCTCACAAATATCACTCTGCATATACTACAAAAAAAAGAACCAACACAAATGTCCAACAATGATAGAGTGGATTAAGAAAATGTGGCACATATACACCATGGCGTATATGCAGCCATAATAAATGATGAGTTCATGTCCTTTGTAGGGACCTGGATGAAATTGGAATTCATCATTCTCAGTAAACTATCGCAAGAACAAAAAACCAAACACCACATATTCTCACTCATAGGTGGGAATTGAACAATGAGAACACATGGACACAGGAAGGGGAATATCACACTCTGGGGACTGTTGTGGGGGGGAGGATAGCATTGGGAGATATACCTAATGCTAGATGACGAGTTAGTGGGTGCAGTGCACCAGCATGGCACATGTATACATATGTAACTAACCTGCACATTGTGCACATGTACCCTAAAACTTAAAGTAAAATTAAAAAAAACTGTTTCCAAAATGCTCAATCAAAAGGAACGTTCAACTCTGTGAGATGAATGCTCAAATCACAAAGAAGTTTGTCAGAATGTTTCTGTCTTGTTTTTATCTGAAGATATTTCTTATTCACCATACATCTCAAACCGCTGAGAAATATCTCTTTGGAGATTGTACAAAAAGACGGTTTCTGAACTGCTCAATTAAAAGAAAGGTTCACATCTGTGAAATGAATGCACTCATAGAAAGAAGTTTCTCAGAATGCTTCTGTCTAGCTTTTTTATGTGAAGATATTTCTTTTTCACCATAGGCCTCAAAATGATCAGAAATGTCCCTTTGCAGATTGTACAAAAAGACGGTTTCCAAACTGCTCAATCAACAGATATGTTCAACTATGTGAGATGAATGCAAACATCACAAAAAGTTTTCTCAAAAAGCTTCTGTCTAGTTTTTATGTGAAGATATTTCCTTTTTCACCATAGTCCTCAAAGCGTTCCTAATATCCATTTGCAAATTCTACAAAAACACTGTTTCCAAACTGCTCAATCAAAAGAAAAGTTCAACTCTGTTAGATGAAAGCACACATGAAAAAGAATTTAATAAGAAATCTTTTGTCTAGTTTTTATGTGAAGATATTTCCTGTTTCATCGTAGGCCATAAAGGGCCCACAAATATCCCATTGCAGATTCTACAAAAAGACTGTTTCCAAACTGCTCAATCAAAAGAAAGCTTCAACCCAGTGAGATGAATGGACACATCACAAAGAAGTTTCTCCAAAAGCTTCTGTCTAGTTTTCATGTGAAGATATGTCGTTTTTCACCATAGGCATCAAAGGGAACAGAAATATCCCTGTGTAGATCCTACAAAAAGACTGTTTCAAAACTGCTCAACCAAAAGAATGGTTCAACTCTGTGAGATGAAAGCACATATCACAAAGAAGTTTTTCAGAAATCCTCGGTCTAGTTTTTATGTGAAGATATTTCCTATTTCACCACAGGCCTCAAAGGGCTCATAAATATCCCTTCACAGATGCTACAAAAGGACTGTTTCCAAGCTGCTCAATTCAAAGACAGGTTCACCACATTCCTATGAATGCACACATCACAAAGAAGTTTCTTAGAATGCTTCTGCCTAGTTTTTATGTGAAGATATTTCCTTTTACACAATAGGCCTTAAACTGCTCTCACATATACCTCTGCAGATACTATAAAAAGACTGTTTCCAAAATGCCCCATCAAAGGAAAGGTTCAACTCTGTGAGATGAATGGATACATCACAAAGAAGTTTCTCAGAATACTTCTGTCTGGTTTTATCTGAAGATATTTCTTTTTCACCACAGTTCTCAAACTTCGCAGAAATATCCCTTTGCAGATTGTACAAAAAGACTGTTTCCAAATTGCTCAATGAAAAGCAAGGTTCAACTCTGTGAGATGTACGTACTCATCAAAAAGAAGTTTCTCAGAAAGCTTCTGTTTAGTTTTAATGTGAAGATATTTCCTTTTTCACCATAGGCCTCAAAGCACTCCAAGTATCCATTTGCAGATTCTACAAAAAGACTGTCTCCAAACTGCTCCTTCAAAAGAAAGGTTCAAATCTGTGAGATGAAAGCACACATCACTAAGAAGTTTCTCAGAGAGCTTCTGTCTAGTTTTTAAGTGAGGATATTTCCTTTTTCAACATAGGCCTCAATGGACTCAGAAATATCCCTTTGCAGATCCTACAAAAGGACTGTTTCCAAACTGCTCTATCAAAATAATGGTTCCATTCTGTGAGTTGAATGCACACATCACAAATAAGTTTCTCAGAATGCTTCTGACTAGGTTTTATGTGAAGATATTTCCTTTCTCACCACAGTCCCCAAAATGCTCAGAAATATCTCACTGCAGGTATTATAAAAGACTGTTTCCAAACTGCTCAATCAAAAAAAAAAGGTTCAACTTTTGACGTGAATGTACACATCACAAAGACGTTTCTCAGAAAGCGTCTGTCTAGTTTTTATGTGAGGATATTTCCTTTTTCACCATAGGCCTTAAAACACTCACAAATATCACTCCGCATATACTACAAAAAGACTGTTTCCAAACTGCTCAATCAAAAGAAAAGTCAACTCTGTGAGATGAAAGCACACATAAAAATGAACTTTCTATGAAAGCTGCTGTCTAGTTTTTATGTGAAAATATTACTTCTTAAGCAGAGGCCTCAAACGGCTAACAAATATCCCTTTGCAGATTATAGATAAAGACTGTTTCCAAACTGCTCAATCAAAAGAAAAGTTGAACTCTGTGAGATGAATGCATACATCACAAAGAAGTTTCATAGAAAGCTTCTGTTTAATTTTTATGTGAAGATATTTCCGTTTTCACCATAAATCTCAAAGCGCTCAAATAACCATTTGCAGATTCCACAAAAAGAGTGTTTCAATACTTCTCAATCAAAAGGAAGGTTCAACTCTCTGAGATGAAAGCACACATCACAAAGAAGTTTCTCAGAAAGTTTCTGTCTAGTTTTTATGTGAAGATATTTCTTATTACCCCAGAGGTCTCAATGGGCTCACAAATATCCCTTTGTAGATTTTACAAAACGACTGTTTCCAAACTGCTCAATCAAAAGAAACTTTAAACCTGTGAGATGAATGCACATATCAGGAAGAAGTTTCGCAGAATGCTTCTGTCTAGTTTTTATGTGAAGATATTTTGTTTTCCACTATAGGAATCAAAGTGCTCCAAATAGCCACTTGCAGATTGTAAAAAAAGACTGTTTCAAAACTGCTCAACAAAACAAAGTTTGAAGTCTGTGTGATGAATGGACACATCACAAAGAAGTTTCCCAGAATTCTTCTGTCTGATTTTTATGTGAAGATATTTTCTTTTTCTCCATAGGCCTCAACACACTACAAATATCCATTTGCAGATACTACAAATGACTGTTTACAAACTACCCAATCAAAAGAAAGTTCAACTCTGTGTGATGAATGCACATATCACTAGAAATTTTCTCAGAAAATTTGGGTCTAGTTTTTATGTGAAGATATTACCTATTTCCCCAGAGTCCTCAATGGGCCCAAAAATATTCCCTTTCAGATTTTACAAAATAACTGTATCAAAGCTGTGCAATCAAAAGAAAGGTTCAACAGTGTGAGATGAAAGCACACATCACCAGGAAGTTTCTCAGAATTCTTCTTTCTAGATTTTATGTGAAGATATTTCCTTTTCCACTATAGGCCTCAAAACGCTCCAAATATCCATTTGCAGACACTATAAAGAGAGTGTTTCAAAACTGCTTAATCAAAAGAAAGGTTCAACTCTGTGAGATGAATGCGCACAACTCAAAGAAGTTTCCCAGAAAGCTTCGGTCTAGTCTTAACGTGAAGATATTTCGTTTTCCAACATAGGCCTCAAAGCACTCAAATTACCACTTGCAGATACTACAAGAAGACTGTTTCCAAACTGCTCCATAAAAAGAAAGGTTTAACTCTGTGAGACAAATGCACACATCACAAAGAAGTTTCTCAAAATGCTTCTGCTTAGTTTTTATGGGAAGATATTTCCTTTTTTACCATAGGTCTCAAAATGCTGCTATTATCCATTTGCAGATACTACAAAAAGACTGTTGCCAAACTGCTCAGTCAAAAGAATGGCTCTACTCTGTGAAATGAATGCACACATCACAACGAAGTTTCTCACAATGCTTCTGTCTCATTTTTATTTGAAGATATTTCCTTTTCCACCATAGACCACAAATCGCTCCAAACATCCACTTGCAGATTCTACAAAAAGAGTGTTTTCAAACTGCTCCATCAAAAGAAAGGCTCATCTCTGTGAGATGAAAGCACAGATCACAAACAAGTTTCTAGGAAAGTTTCTGTCTAGTTTTTATGTGAAGATATTTCCTATCACCCCACAGGCCTCAATGGGCTCACAAATATCCCTCTGTAGATTCTACAAAACGACGGTTTCCAAATTGCTCAATGAAAAGAAAGGTTCAACTCGGTGTAGTGAATGCACACATCACAATGAAGTTTCTCAGAATGCTTGTTTCTAGTTTCCATATGAAGATATTTTCTTTTCCACCATAGGCCTCAAAGCACTCCAAGTATCCCCTTGCAGATTCTGCAAAAAGTGTGTTTCAAAACTATTCAATCAAAAGAAAGGTACAACACAATGTGGTGATTGCAGACAAAACGAAGTAGTTTCTAGGAATGTTTCTGTCTGAAGATATTTCCTTTTTCATCATAGGACTCAAAGCCCTTCAAATATCCATTTGCAGATACTACAAAAATACTGTTTCCAAACTTCTTAATGAAAAGAAAGGTTCAAATGTGTGAGATGAAAAGACAAATCACAAAGTAGTTTCTCAGAAAGTTTCTGTCTAGTTTTTATGTGAAGATATTTCTTATTGCCCCATGGGCCTCAATTGGCTCAAAAATACCCCTCTGCACATTCAACAAAATGACTCTTTCCAAACTGCTGAATCAATAGAAACGTTCAACTGTGTTAGATGAATGGACACAACAAAGAGAAGTTTCTGAGAAAGATTCTATCTAGTTTTTATGTGAAGATATTTCCTTTTCCACAATAGGCCTTTAAGCACTCCAAACATCCACTTGTGGATTCTACAAACAGAGTGTTTCAAAACTGCTCAATCAAAAGAAATGTTCAGCTCTGTGAGATGAATGCAGACATCACAAAGAAGTTTCTCAGAATGCTTCTGCCTAGTTTTTATGGGAAGATATTTCCTTTTTCACCATAGGCCTCAAAGTGCTGCTAATATCCATTTGCAGATATCACAAAAAGACGGCTTCCAAACTGCCCAATCAAAAGAAAGTTTCAACTCTGTGAGATGAAAGCAAACATCACAAAGAAGTTTCTCAGAAAGTTTCTGTCTAGTTTTTATGTGAAGATATTTCCTATCGCCCCATAGGCCTCAATCAGCTCACAAGTATCCTTCTGCAGATTATACAAAATGACTCTTTCCAAACCGCTCAATCACAGGAAAGGTTCAACCCTGTGAAATGAATGCACCCATCACAAAGAAGTTTCTCAGAATGCTTCTTTCTAGTTTTTATGTGAAGAAGATTCCTTTTCCACCATATTCCACATGCGCTCCAAATATACACTTGCAGATTCTGCTATAAGACAGTTTCAAAACTGTTCAATCAAAAGAAAGGTTCAAATCTGTGAGATGAATGCACATGTCACAAAGAAGTTTCTACAAATGCTTCTGTCTGATTTTTATGTGAAGATATTTCCTTTTTCACCATAGGCCTCAATATGCTCCAAATATCCATTTGCAGATACTACAAAAAGACTGTTTCCAAACTGCTCAACCAAAAGAAAGTTCAACTCAGTGAGATGAATGCACACATCACAAAGAAGTTTCTCAGAAAGATTCTGTCTAGTTTTTATGTGAAGATATTTCCTATTTCCACAGAGGCCTCAATGGGCTCACAAACATTCCTTTGCATATTCTACAAAACGACTGTTTCGAAGTTGCTCAATCAAAAGAATGGTTCAACACTGTGAGATAAATGCACACATTCCAAGGAAGTTTCTCAGAATTCTTCTGTCTAGTTTTTATTTGAAGATATTTCCTTTTCCACTGTAGGCCACAAAGCGCTCCAAATATCCACTTGCAGATTCTACAAAAAGAGTGTTTCCACTCTGCTCAATCAAAAGAAAAGTTCAACTCTGTGAGATGAATGCACACAGTGCAAAGAAGTTTCTCAGAAAGCCTCTGTCTAGTTTTTAGGGGAAGATATTTCGTTTTTCACCGTAGGCCAAAAGCACTCCAAATATCCGTTTGCAGATTCTACAAAAAGACTGTTTCTAAACTGCTCAATCAAGAGAAAGTTTCAACCTGGTGAGATGAAGTCACACATGACAAATAAGTTTCTCAAAAATTATCTCTCTAGTTTTTATGTGAAGGTATTTTCTATTTCCCCAGAAGCCTCAATGTGCTTACAAACATCCCTTTGCAGATTCTACAAAAAGACAGTTTCCAAACTAATCAATCAAAAGAATGGTTAAACTCTGTGCAATGAATGCACACATCACAAAGAAGTTTCCCAAAATGCTGCTGTCTAGTTTTTATGGGAAGATATGTCCTTTTCCACCATAGGCCTCAAAGTGCTCCAAATATCCACTTGCAGATTCTACAAAAATACTGTTTCCAAACTGCTCAATAAAAAGAAAGGTTCAACTCTGTGAGATGAATGGACATATCACAAAAAGTTGTCAGAATACTTCTGTCTAGTTTTTATTGGAAGATATGTACTTTTCCACAAATGACCTCAAAGTGCTCCAAATATCCACTTGCAGATTGCACAAAAAGAGTGTTTCAAAACTGCTCAATCAAAAGAAAAGTTCAACTCTGTGAAATGAATGCACCGATCACAAAGAAGTTTCTCAGAATGCTTTTGTATCGTTTTTATGTGAAGAAGATTCCTTTTCCACCATATTCCTAATGCACTCCAAATATACAATTGCAGATTCTGCTAAAAGAGTGTTTCAAGACTGCTCAGTCAAAAGAAAGGTTCTAATCTGTGAGATGAATGCACACATCACAAAGAAGTTTCTATGAATACTTCTGTCTGATTTATATTGAAGATATTTCCTTTTTCACCGTAGGCCTAAGAGCGCTTAAAAGATCAATTTGCAGATACTAGAAAAAGACTGTTTCCAAACTGCTCAATCAAAATAAAGTTCAACTCAGTGGGATGAATGCACACATCACAAAGAATTTTCTAAGAAAGATTCTGTCTAGTTTTTATGTGAAGATATTTCCTATTTCCTCAGAGGCATCAATGGGCTCACAAATATTCCTTTGCATATTTGAAAAATTAATGTTTAGAAGCTGCTGAATCAAAAAAAAGGTTCAACACTGTGAGATGAATGCACACATTCAAAGGAAGGTTCTCAGAATTCTTCTGTCTAGTTTTTATGCGAAGATATTTCCTTTTTCACTATAGGCCACAAAGCGCTCCAAATATCCAATTGCACACTCTACAAAAAGAGTTTTTCCACACTGCTTAATCAGAAGAAAAGTTCAACTGTGTGAGATGAATGCACACATCACAAAGAAATTTCTCAGAAAGCTTCTGCCTACTTTTTATGGGAAGATATTTCGTTTTTCAATATAGGCCAAAAGCACTCCAAATATCCATTTGCAGATTCTACAAAAAGACTGTTTCCAAACTGCTCAATAAAGAGAAAGTTTCAACCGGGTGAATTGAAGTCACACATGACAAAATAGTTTCTCAGAAAGTATCTGTCTAGTTTACATGTGAAGATATTTCCTATCACCCCAGAAGCCTCAATGGGCTCACGAATATCCCTTTGCAGATTCTACAAAACGACAGTTTCAAAACTGCTGAATCAAAAGAAAGGTTCAACTCTGTGAGATGAATGCACAGATCACAAATAAGTTTTTCAGAATGCTGCTGTCTAGTTTTTAATGGGAAGATATGTCCTTTTCCACCATAGGCCTGAAAGTGCTCCCAATATCCACTTGCAGATTGTACAAAAAGAGTGTTTCAAAACTGCTCAATCAAAAGAAAAGTTCAACTCTGTGAGATGAAAGCACACATCAGAAAGAAGTTTCTCAGAAAGTTTCTGTCTAGTTTTTATGTGAAGATATTTCCTATCACTCCATACGTCTCAATGGGCTCACAAATATCCCTCTGCAGATTCTACAAAACGACTGTTTCCAAACTGTTCAATCCAAGGAAAGGTTCAACTCTGTGAAATGAATGCACCCATCTGACAGAAGTTTCTCAGAATTTTTCTATCTAGTTTTTATGTGACAATGTTTCCTTTTCTACCATAGGCCTCAAAGCGCTACAAATATCCAATTGAAGATACTACAAAAAGTGTGTTTCAAAACTGCTCAATCAAAAGAATGGTTCAACTTCGTGACATGAATGCACATATCACAAAGAAATTTCTCAGAATGCTTCTGTCTAGTTTTTATTTGAAGATATTTCCTTTTCCACCATAGGCCTCAAAGCACTCCAAATATCAACTTGCACAACCTATGAAAAAGTTTTTCAAAACTGCTCAATCAAAAGAAAGCATCAGCTCTGTGACATGAATGCACACATCACAAAGAGGTTTCCCAGAATGCTTCTGCCTAGTTTTTATGGGAAGATATTTTCTTTTTCACCATAAGCCTCAAAGTGCTCTAAATA
Organism: Homo sapiens; assembly: GCF_000001405.40. Lineage (NCBI taxonomy): Eukaryota > Metazoa > Chordata > Mammalia > Primates > Hominidae > Homo > Homo sapiens. Next base: position 99,675 of record NT_187433.1, on the reverse strand, counting down.
TCCATTTGCAGGTGAGAAAAATACTGTGTCTAAACTGCTCAATCAAAAGAAAATTTCAGCTCTGTGAGATGAATGCACACATCACAAAGAACTTTCTCAGAATGACTCTTACTAGTTTTTATGTGAAGATATTTCCTTTTCCAACACAGGCATCTAAGCACTCCAAATATCCAATTGAAGATTCCACAAAAAGAGTGTTTCAAAACTGCTCAATCATAAGATAGGTTTAACTCTGTGAGATGAATGCACACATCACAAAGAAATTTCTCAGAATGCTTCTATCTACTTTTTACATGAAGTTATTTCCTTTTCCACTATAGGCCTCAAATCACTCCAAATATCCGTTTGCAGATCCTACAAAAAGAGTGTTTCTGAACTGCTCAATCAAAAGAAAGGCTCAACTCTGTGAGATGAATGTACATATCACAAAGAGGTTCCTCAAAATACTTCTGTATAGTTTTTATGTGAAGATATTTCCTTTTCCACCAAAGGCCTCAAAGCGCTCCAAATATCCACTTGCAGATTCTACAAAAAGAGTGATTAAATACTTCTCAAAAAAGAAAGGTTCAGCTCAGTGAGAAGAATGCATACATCCAAAGAACACTCTCAGAATGCTTCTGTCTAGCTTTTATGTGAAGATATTTCCTTTTCCATCATAGGCATCAAAGTTCTCCAAATATCCACTTGCAGATTATACAAAAAGAGTGTGTTAAAACTGCTCAATCAAAAGAAAGTTTCAACACAGGGAGTTGAATGCACACATCACAAACAAGTTACTCAGAATGCTTGTGTCTGATTTTTATGTGAAGATATTACCTTTTCCACCAAAGGCCTCAAAGTGCTCCAAATATCCCCTTGAAGATTCTGCAAAAAAAGTGATTAAATACTTCTCAAAAAAGAAATCTTCAACTCTGTGAGATGAATGCAAAAATCACAGAATTTTCTCAGAATGCTTCTTTCTAGGTTTTATGTGAAGATATTTCCTTTTCCTCTGTAGGCCTCAAAACACTACAAATATCCAGTTTCCGATACTACAGAAAAAGTGTGTTAAAACTCCTCAATCAAAAGAAAAGTTCAACACAGGGAGTTGAATGCAGACATCACAAAGAAGTTTCTCTGAATGCTTGTGTCTGATTTTTATGTGAAGGTATTTCATTTTCCACCATAGGCCTCAACGGGCTCCAAATATCCAGTTGCAGATTCTGAAAAAAGAGTGTTTCAAAACTGCTCAATGAAAATAAAGATTCAACTCTGTGAAATGAATGCACACATGACAAAGAAGTTCCTCAGAATGCTTCTGTCAAGTTTTTATGTGAATATATTTCTTTTAATTTATTTATTTATTTCATTTTATTATTATTATACTTTAAGTTTTAGGGTACATGTGCACAATGGGCAACTTAGTTACATATGTATACATGTGCCAGTCTGGTGTCCTGCACCCATTAACTCATCATTTAGCATTAGGTATATCTCCTAATGCAATACCTCCTTTCCCCCCCACCCCACAACAGTCCCCAGAGTGTGATGTTCCCCTTGCTGTGTCCATGTGTTCTCGTTGTTCAAATCTCACCTATGAATGAGAACATGTGGTGTTTGGTTTTTTGTCCTTGTGATAGTTTACTGAGAATGATGATTTCCAATTTCATCCATGTCCCTACAAAGGATATGAACTCATCATTTTTTATGGCTCCATAGTATTACATAGTGTATATGTGTCACATTTTCTTAATCCAGTCTATCATTGTTGGACATTTGGGTTGGTTCCAAGTCTTTGCTATTGTGAATAGTGCCACAATAAACATACACATGCATGTGTCTTTATAGCAGCATGAAACCAATGAGAACAGAGACACAACATACCAGAATCTCTGGGACACATTCAAAGCAGTGTTTAGAGAGAAATTTATAGCACTAAATGCCCACAGGAGAAAGCAAGAAAGATCCAAAATTGACACCCTAACATCACAATTAAAAGAACTAGAAAAGCAAGAGCAAACACATTCAAAAGCTAGCAGAAGGCAGGAAATAACTAAAATCAGGTCAGAACTGAAAGAAATAGAGACACAAAAAACCCTTCAAAAAATTAATGAATCCAGGAGCTGGTTTTTTGAAAGGATCAACAAAATTGATAGACCGCTAGCAAGACTAACAAAGAAGAAAAAAGAGAAGAATCAAATGCAATAAAAAATGATAAGGGGCATATCACCACCGATCTCACAGAAATTCAAACTACCATCAGAGAATACTACAAACACCTCTATGCAAATAAACTAGAAAATCTAGAAGAAATGGATAAATCT